>NC_000012.12:40338915-40490431 GCF_000001405.40 Homo sapiens
TCAAGCCCATTACTTACTGTGAAGGTCAACTTCATTAGTGTATTTATCTTATTTTTTTCAGCCCAAAATAGGTATATTGAAATGAATGGGCCTAATGTCAAATGTCCCGACTACATCCTGGAAGAGAGAGAATCTTCAGCTGTATTAGTTGATGCAGTTAAATAATATGTACTCTCCAGGCCCTCATACAATTGAAAGTTCAGGGTATCGTTGCTGCTCTGCTTCTAATCCTTCCAGAAGTGATTGGTGCTAGGTGATGGAGTAACTATTAATTGATATAATGTGAGCCAAAACCAACAGTCACGAATAAGCAAAGGATTTAAATTTAACTCCATTAAGTCTTGTGAGAAATTATTTTCAACATAGGTTATAACATACCTGTGACATCACATGAAATGCTGTAGTCAATTTGACATCATGGGGCAGAGAAGACAGAGTTGGAAATCAGAATTTTATAGACATCTAATGTGATAATAACATTAGTAGCTGAGATGCGGTAAGCTCTTTGACCATGTTTCCAGAATGGATAAGACCTGGTTGAGATGAAAACTTTACACTGTTTTTTTATATTAACTATCTTTTACTCTTTGCCTGAAATGTCCAACTCTAGTTGCTCGTGATTGCGTGGGTCAGTCTCCAGAAGGTTGGACTTTAATATTACCCGTCATCTTTTCCAAGACAAAATTGTATTCATTCTAACTCTTAGCCCCAAATTTTCTTTTTTAACCTTAATATCTAACATGATTAGGTTTATGGTAAATTATATACTCAAACAGAAGAAGAGACTAATAGCAAGCAAAAGTCTTATATTTTCATTTGTTTTCATCCAAAAAGTAGAAAATATTTTCCAAACATTGGGAAACATTTTAGTCAGAAAAATAAATATCAATGATAAATAGAATAGAGAAAAATTTTAAAGCTGAGCTAAACCTCTATGTGGTTTTAGGAAAATCAAAACTATTAAATAAATGGCAAGTACAACAAAATCCCATCAATTCTTATTTAACATACTTACATTTTGAAATAGTTAAAATATTCATATGATCATTGAGAGAATTCAGAATTGCCTTTAAGTAATTGTTCACATATACAAAAGAAAAGTCTCCAAAAATTGGGTCTTTGCCTGAGATAGATTTGTCTTAAAATTGAAATCATTCACTTATCAGATTTGACCCTTTTTTAAAGCATAACTTTGCTGTGTAATATTAGACTTATATGTTTTGATTTCCTTCTACAATATCTCTTAACTTTAAGGGACAAAGTGAGCACAGAATTTTTGATGCTTGACATAGTGGACATTTATATTTAAGGAAATTAGGACAAAAATTATTATAATGTAATCACATTTGAATAAGATTTCCTGTGCATTTTCTGGCAGATACCTCCACTCAGCCATGATTATATACCGAGACCTGAAACCCCACAATGTGCTGCTTTTCACACTGTATCCCAATGCTGCCATCATTGCAAAGATTGCTGACTACGGCATTGCTCAGTACTGCTGTAGAATGGGGATAAAAACATCAGAGGGCACACCAGGTAGGTGATCAGGTCTGTCTCATAATTCTATCTTCAGGATGGATAACCACTGACCTCAGATGTGAGTTCAGAAGAGTCAAAAGGAAAACAGAGTCTATCACATTGTGAACAGAGGTTTATTTTGTGAAAAAATGCAAGCATCACATTGTGATTTTTATCATTGTATTTTGTAGGAAAAAAACAATTGATGTAATTTTTCAGGGCAAAAACTGAATAAAAAGAAGAGAATGTTTGATATCAAGTTATATGTTTTAAAGTTAGATTTGTAGATTCTTTAGATACTCTAGAGGTCATAAAAAGTAACAGCAAAAACTTTAGTCTAGGTATTGTTGGCACTTGTGAGGCAAATCAAATTCAGGTCCACAAATTCTTTTTCATAATTCTGAAACCCAAAGAACTCTGAAAATCCCAAGATTTTTTAAAAAATGACTAATTTGGTGTCAAAACCTAAGCAAGCTGACTTGTTGCTTATTACAATCTTTATTTCTCATGCTCAGTGTGAATATGCATACATTTTGCTGCAGAAATATATACATGTTTGAGTACAGGGGGCTGGCCGTGACCCTACTGAGGGTTTCTGTACACATCACTGTCTACCCTGTGGAATCTTACCTCCCTTTCTTAGTTCCCAATCCTGAAAAGCAGTTATGGGGCCAGTGCTCTGTACAGACATGTTGTCTCAGACATCAGTTTGAGCAGGAAGTAAATCATTTAGGGGTTGGCATTTGTTTGGAGTGTGGGGAACACTCTATCTTTAGGGAAACTTTATATAGTTAGTTATTTGTAAGTAAAATTACAGGTGGCTATACATCATCTTGCTGATTGCAACTCAATTAAATCACCGTGCCTGGCACAGAAGAAAATATGCTACAGGATATCTCACTAGGGAAAAGGTTCTAGTTCGTTTCCTGCGCACTCAACTTTTGTACTTAGATAAGCAAATGGCCCCAGATTCCAATGCCTGGTTTTATTTTTGCTCCAAATACATATATACTCTTTTGTTTTGGATAGTTACATTTTAGAAGTAGACTGTGTATTCTCATAAACACTTCAAAGTGTATGTTCTGGCTGAGAGTGTCTCTGTGTTGTTCAATAATAATAAGACTAATTATCATTTTTTGAGTACCTGCTGTGCGTCAGGCCCAGTGCCACGTATATTAGAGACAAGATCTCTTATCCTCATGCCAGGGCTGGAAGTTAGCTATTAGTTTCTCATTTGCCAAATGAGAAAACTGAGGCTCAGGGAGATTATGTAACTTGCAGAATATCACTCAGTAATTGGCCAAGATAAGAATTCAGTCTAAATGAGAACCAGATCCAGAGATATTTGGCTTTAAATTCTATAGTCTCTCCTAAACCATATGCAACTCTAACATGAAGAAGCTTATTTAATCTTCACTATTAAAAAAGTCAAAACAAAACAACAGAGCCATGAATAGCAAATATTGTCAATGAGAGGTTTGGAAAAACAGTCTTAAAGGATGAAATTCCATAGACCTGATATATTTCCACCTGGAAAAAGTGGGCATGGGACAGTGATTTTCTCTTGAAAGATCTGCTCATTTTTGTCATGGGACATGAAGGTGGACTGGACCACTCAGTTTCTTCTTTCTGCATCTCCCAACCCAGTCTTTCTGTTCATGGGGTGAAAATCTGTTGTTGAAGCCTTGTCTGCTTAATTGGACAGTGGATCTCTCGGGTCCCTGTGGGCTGTGCGCTTGTACTTGAGCTCTGCTTCTTCACTCTGTGGTCTAGGCCAGCTAGCAGCCAGCTGAGTTCACCTTGGTTCAGACTCATGGCCTTTCATTTTCAGTATCTGACTTCCTGGTTTTGCTGAAAACCTGTCTAAAATGTAATATCCATCTGATTCTTCATACCAAGCCACACAATTCTTCCTGATCCCTTTTAATCTCCAATATTGAATGGTGGTAACATAAATATGGAGACAGATCATGTCAGAAACCCAGGGCCTAATCTTTTCTTTTCTGCCTACTCTTCTCACAGGCTGCTTAGTACTTTGTAAGCTTTTTTTTTTTTTCTGGCTGTAACCTAGATTTTCTCTTTATCATTACTCTATTTATTATTGTTAGAGCACTTCTGATTATCTCAGCCCTAAACTCTGCCTCCAATTTTAAATAACAATAACTCCCACTCCTGCTAATACTGCTACTACTACTACCATCACCAAACTTTTTCTTCCCCAAAGCAGTTCTGTTTGGGAAGGAAACAGTTCCCTCTCATACAATTTCAGTTATCTTCTTGTCTTTTCCGTTTAATGAATCTTCCTGTTAATGTTACATCTTTTAACATGGAAACTTCTAGAGAAACAAAAGACGATGGATTTGTTAAACCTTTTGGGTGTATTTTTATACTAACTCTTACTGCAGCGTGTGCATTATGAGTGTAGGTCCATTACGGCTGTATTAGGAGCAGAACCTTCCAGAGCATGAGCGATGTGCTGGGCTTGTGCTTAGCTCTATCCATGAGTTAAGTATCTCAATCCTTAGGACCCTCTGACATATGTGCTATTATTATTTCTAGTCTATAGATACAGAGACTAAAGTTTAGAGAATATAAAAAAACATTTACAAGGTCCTATGGGACAAAAACTGTAGGACAAAATGCAAACCCAAGCAGCCTGAGAGCAGAGCTCCTGGTCCAGCACTGTGATAGCTGGGGACGCAGAGACAGAAACAATGCAATTATTGACAGGGACCATGGTGCTGTGTCTGTCCACATTTTGAAGATAATTATGGTTTGGATATTTTCACCTTTAAATAACTTGGAGAGTTTCAACATTAACTCAGTCAGATGGATACATTTATATCATATCCTGCTGGGAGTGACAGTTAATTCTGGGTCCTATGGCAATTGCACTTTTGACTGAGATGAATGCTGACTGATGGCTTTAACATTTAACTAATGCGATAGTATTTAACACACCCATATAAATACTATAGTCTTCGGGTAAATAAAATGTTACCGGCTGGACATACATGAATATCTGATGGAGATTATGGAACATACTCTACTCATACTTCTCTGAAAGTAAAAAATAAAAGATATGTTTCAGTACACAATGTGATATGTACTCAGACTTAATTCATAAATTTCTCTTATCCTTCATCCGTGGATCTTTTCTTTATTTACTTATTGCGTTTGTTAAAATGCAGGCTTCTCTGAAAAATTATTTTTAAAAATAGTTTTTAGACAATGAATCATATTTTCTCAAGTATTTTAACATTGTAATCATTATGATAATTATCCAAGGGGAAATTATACTTATTTTTTATTCATTTATTCATTCATTTGGCAACAATACATTGAACATTTACTAAGCATCAAACTGGCTCTACCACTTAATAGTGGCATGATGTTCATCAAGAAATTGTTAGTGCAATCAAGAACACTAGAAATTCATTGGATGAATTTAAAGAAGCTTTTAGAAGGGTATTATATTATAATTGAGGCACTTTATGAATATATAAATAATATTATGTTTTCATGCTAGAGATCATGCCAATGAAGATATTTACTTTGAAAAGGAGAAGATTAGAAGTTTAAAAGCATTTCCATATTGAAGTAAATATTCATTTCCATATCTTCACAGTTATCTTTCTCTGAGTTCTCTGACTCATTGTGAAAAAAAATCCCAACCTTCTTCACAGCTCTACCATCTTCGGATTGTTGCCTAGAGGGGTAAAAACTATTGTAAAAGGATGTGTGCACTGGATGAGAATTTAGAATTAGACGAAATGACCCCTAGAGTCTTTTCCTGCTTTAAGAGCCTGTGATTCCAAATTCTAACAGTACATTTATCAAGAAAAAATATGCTGAACATTTAAATAGTTTTTGAATAGTACCTAGATATAATAGATACCTAATAAATGTGCTCAATGAATAATAAATAACTGGTTAAGATTTAAATAAGCCTCCAAAATCTCTTCCACATTCTAAGAAGGGAAGCATAAAGGTTGTTAATGAACTAGTGACTGTGTGGGTAGCTCATTATTTTTAAGTACTCTTGACTTTGCTGTTCATTATCTGTGTGGCCTTAGGAAAATACACACATTTCTGAAAGGATTATGTCGTTTGTAAAATAGAAAGTCCTTATCTGTCTACCACAGATGATTCTTATGCAAATCAAATGAAATGTTCAATAAGGTGTCTGTAAAATAGTAGAGAGAGATGAATTAGGAGCTATTGTGATTTGTTTACATTATGTCACAGGTGCACTTTATTAGGGATATGTTTTATCTTAATTACACAATTCTTTAACTTAGATTTTGAGAATTATATTATGGTTATATAGGAAAATGCCCTTATTCTAAGGAAATGTATAATATATTTAGGTCTGAAACATTGTATCTGTAACAATATAGTATGTAAATTATGCTAATTCACATGATAATTATATGTAATTATATTAATATATTACTATGTATACAATATATTTACATGCATATATGTGGGGAAATGTTATCAGTTAGTGTAGTAGGGGTTATCATACTCAAATTCGATGTCTCCATCCTTCCAACTCTTCATGCTTTTCCAGCATGGTGAGGACTGCTGAGCTCCATCTTTTGCTGGTAGTCTCTCTGTCAAATAGAACTGTTTCCAAATTCAGTCATTTGCTCCTTGAAGGCTATGAATTCATACTTCGTTATATTTTTCTGGCTGCATATTTAAATTACTTTAACAATCATATAAGTTCATTGTAAAAATTTTGGAAATAAAAAGGAAGATAAAATGCACAGATAATTTTAGCAAATGAAATAATAATTATATTGGGATGTATTTCTTCCTAGATTTTAATTATGTACATTCCCATCAACTTTTTATTTTGAAAATGTTTAAGCCTAAAGAACAGTTGAAAGAGTAGTACAGGCTGGGTGCAGTGGCTCCTGCCTGTAATCCCAACACTTTGGGAGGCCGAGGTGGGTGGATCACTTGAGGTCAGGAGTTCAAGACCAGCCTGACCAACATGGTGAAACCCTGTCACTACTAAAAATACAAAAATCAGCTGGGCACGGTGGTGGGCACCTGTAATCCCAGCTACTCGGGAGGCTGAGGCAGGAGAATCGCTTGAACCCAGGAGGCAGAGGTTGCAGTAAGCCAAGATCACACCCCTGCACTCCAGCCTGGGCAAGAGAGTGAGACTCCATCTCAAAAAAAAAAAAAAAAAAAAAAAGAAAGAAAGAGTAGTACAATATACATTCATACTCATATACCCGACGCATAAATTCATTGATTATTTACTTTTTGCCCTACTTGTTCTTTCTTGCTCTCTTTGCGTATGAATGAATCATTGAAATTAAGTTGTAGACATCATGCCATATCACCTCTGAACAGTGTGTATATTTCTTTAGAATAAGGATGTTTACTTACATAATCATAATACCATTATCACAGCTAAGAAAATTAATTCAGTTGATTTTTTCCACATATTTGATAACTTTCTGTCTATCCACGATTATGTCTTACATATTCTTTTAATTTATGTCATAGCATATCATCTTAGAAAGTGATCCCTAAGTTACTGCATGGTATACATTGTTTAACCATTTCCCTTTGTGATTGGATGTCTTTAGGTTGATTATATTTTTATTATTATCACAAATGTTGAAATCACTCTTTTTTTCTGAAGAATTTAAAAGTAATTTATCTGTCTTATGGAATAAAATATTTATTTCCCCTTAAAAGAATTTCAGGCATGAACCCAAGAGAGAAGGCTTTTTTTTTTGTTTTAGTTGTTGTTTTTATTTTTATTTTTTATTTTTTGGGTAGAAGGAGCAGAGAGACAAGTTCAGGAAATAATGAGAGTGTTAGAATTTTGTTCAGGTTAAAGTGAGTTGGAGTGAAGTTTAGAAATCTCCTTTCTACTCATCTCTCCTGTTTTTAAAACACTGTCCTGGAAATAGTTAATATTAGGAACGAGAAAAATGGTATAGGTTTTCCTAGTACACTTTATTTCTTAATTATGAAATTCTACTTAATAACTTACCATTGAATGTTTATCCTTATTATCATTCAAGGTAATTTTATTGAAGATTGAAGATATTTATAATAAAGATTGAAGGATTTTATTGTCCTGTGTGGTCAACCTTGGGGGGTGAGATGTTATGAGACAGGACAATTAATTGACTTGATCAAGGTACCTTGTTATAAAAATAACACAGCCTGGTTTAGAACATCTCTTCCTGACTCTCTTATTTGGCATATAGCCTAAGTGTATGCCTCCTTGGATGTATGAGCCCTGATGTTGGTCATATTTATTATTTTATCTGCTTACTTTCAGGGTTTCGTGCACCTGAAGTTGCCAGAGGAAATGTCATTTATAACCAACAGGCTGATGTTTATTCATTTGGTTTACTACTCTATGACATTTTGACAACTGGAGGTAGAATAGTAGAGGGTTTGAAGTTTCCAAATGAGTTTGATGAATTAGAAATACAAGGAAAATTACCTGGTAAGTTCTGTTTTCTCTACAATGAAGATTTTTTTTCTTAATATCAGCAGCTTCATTTTTATTTAATTGTAGTTGTATGCTTAATTCCTTAAACAGATGATCATTTTTTTTGTTTAGTGCATAAATATTCTTAAATCTTGTGATATATTAATAAAAATCACCTGAAAAAGGTAGCAGTTTTAGGCTTTTTAAAAAATCCGCAATTAATATTGGTGTAGTTAATATTATATTTAGAAACATAGAGAAGGAAATTGCTGTTAGAACTCCACATTTGGTGATTTTTAATTTTCATAAAGAATTACTGTGTACTCATTATCCTGGAATGTTTTCGTTTTCTTGGAGTGAAATAATTTACATGCAGGAATGGAAGACTGAATGATCTATAATAATAATTTTTCATAAGAATCGGTAAATGTGTATTTAATGTTATCAAAGCTCATTTGGAATGGTTGTCTCATGCTTTCAAGAAATTAGAGGACTTTGTAATTCATTCCTTAACCATTACTTTAGTTCTCACCACAAAATAACATTTTAAGTTTATTTAGCTCTTTCTCATATTTTCTGCTTTCCCTTTCATTTAAAAAATACTTTTGAGTGTACACAATGTGCCATGTACAGGAAATAGAGCTTTATCTTTTTTGGGTATAACTTCAAGATCATGGCAAAAGAAAACTTATTATTAATTGGATAAACCTTAGATATAATCTAGGTTATTTCCCTTATTTTACTAGTTTTCTAGTGAAAATATTCAGGTCTCTGCTGGGTACAGTGGCTTACGCCTGTAATCCCAGCACTTTGGGAGGCCCAGGCAGGCAGATCACTTGAGGCCAGGAGCTGGAGACCAGCCTGGCCAACATGGTGAAACCCTGTCTCTACTAAAAATACAAAAAGTAGCTGGGCATGGTGGCATGTGCGTGTAGTCCCAGCTACCAAGGAGGCTGAGGCACGAGAATAGCTTGAACCTGGGAGGTTGCAGTGAGCCGAGATTGCGCCACTGCACTCCAGCCTAAGCAACAAAGTGAGACTCCATCTTAAAAAAAAAAATTCAGTTCTGTGTTCTGCATCAACCAGAATAAGCTACGCCTCTTATAAAAAACAAATGTGCACAAACCATCTGTGAGGACATAAGGATTAAATGCTTGCTTACTTTGAGTATTAAAATAAAAAGTAGAAGCTTTATTATATGAGTAAAAGTGTTTCCAAAGTCTATTTGAAATGCAGGTACAGAATGAAAATCTGTTATTTTATTAAATCGTTATTTGGGTCTCTTTTTATTCCATAAAAAAAAAATCTTTTCCACATCTCTTAGTGGAGATCAAGTTAACAAAATTAGCTTTAATTTTGTGACAAGTAAATTTACATAAATATAGGATTATGGAGATAATATTTTTCTTTGCAATGTCTGGACCTTTTATAAACATTGAGAGGAAATATAACCATTCTTACTTATTTAGTATGCTAGCATGATGTTTTTTAATGTTTTAGATCCAGTTAAAGAATATGGTTGTGCCCCATGGCCTATGGTTGAGAAATTAATTAAACAGTGTTTGAAAGAAAATCCTCAAGAAAGGCCTACTTCTGCCCAGGTATTCTTAAAGTTTTGTTAATATTTTGTACAGAACATCATTTGCATATATGCATATATATATAATCTTCAAATATATATACTTAAACACATAAACACACAGAGACAGAATTAAAAATAGTTATAAGGCAAACCTCCTATAATTTTCACCATCCCAGGCACAAAAAAAGGACATTGCCAAAACCTCACATGCTCCCATATGCCTGTCTCCTCTTCTCTTCTTTGAAATGCCTGCCCATTATTTTGCCCATTTTTCTGTTGACTCTTTTGCCTACAAATCAAATCAGAAAAAAATTTTTATATATAACATACTAATCCTTTCTTGGTTTTATATGTTGCAATTTCTTTTTCGAGCTGGTGGCTTGCTTTTTAAATTTCTTGTAGGGTGCCCGTTAATGAATGGAATTTCTTAATTTTAATATATATAAATTTAACAATTCTTCTTTTTCCTTCTTTTCCTGGTTATTCCTATTTGGTCCTGTTGTAGAGCCCATCTTTCTTTTAGAGCTACAAAAATATTTACCTGCAATTTCTTCAAACATTTTAAAAGTTTGCTTTTGACAAGATTTTAATCCATTGGAATTGACATTTTTATCTGTATCCCATTCCTTTTTTTAATGTGGAAGACTAATTTTTTCAGGTTGATTTACTAAATGGCTTCTCCCCTTTTGTCCCATAGATCTGATGTGTCCATTTTGTAATTTATTAAAGATAATGTGCATATCCACGTGTACACTGTCTTCCACTGATCAACTCATTTATTTTTCCTCCAGTATTACCCTGTCTTAATTCCTGTAGCTTTATAATGATCTCCTCTCCCTATTTATTTTTCTCATCCAGGAATATTTTAACCAGTCTTAGGCTTAGCTTTTCTATATAAAATTTAGAATCATGCTGTCAAATCTTATGAAAAACCACATTGTCGTTTGGATTGGTCTTGGATTGAATATGTTGACAATCTGGAGATGATATCCTTATGATATTAAGTCTTTGTATTCTTTTTCTTATTTATTTATTTATTTAGAGGCAGGGTCTCACTCTGTCACCCAGGCTGGAGTGCTGGAGTGCAGTGGCAGGATCACAGCTCAATGCAGCTTTGACCTCCTGGGCTCAAGTGATCCTGTCGCCTCAGTCTCCATCAGCCAATTGTGTGCCACCAGACCTGGTTAACTTTTCCTTTAATTTTTTTGTAGAGAAAGGGTCTCACTCTGTTGCCCAGGCTGGTCTTGAACTCCTGGCCTCAAGCAATCCTCCCGCCTAGGCCTCCCAAAGTGCATGAGCAACTGCACCTGGCCAAGTCTTCCTATTCTGGAATGGCATGAATTCTCTCTGTTTACTTAGGTCTTCTCAAGCGTCTTTCAATAAAGTTTTGTAATGCTACATACAGGTCTTGCATATCTTTTGCTGGATTTTCTTGCTGCAAATTGCTTTAAATGCAGTTCATGGCTTGAGATTTGTTTTTTAACTGCCCAGTTAACGTAAATCTGGTCTATGAATTGTATTGACAACAAGCTTGTGAGTAGCAATTTTTCAGCAACCTTTTGCTCCCTCTCCCCGCTCCCTGCACAGTCCCAGAACAACTTTCCTTATATACCAATGAAGGTGGAAATGTGGACAGGTTGATTTCTCCTTCTTGTTTATGCTGAATATGCAGTCCTTTGGGGTCCCAGCTTTATAGGTACAGTCCCTTTACTAAGACTGTCTATCTTGGGAAGGCCCTAGACTCCAACTTCTCTCCCATGGGCCCCACAAAGCATCCAAGAGTATACATTTATATTATCTCACTTTGTCTTGGCAGACAAATGTCTTCAGGGCAAGTCTGGCTTTAGGGGTCCACTGACCTCTCTGGTTTCTGTCTCTCACTGTGATTTCGGCCTGATAATTCCTTATGGTGTCAGATCTTCAATGTTTTTAATACATTGTTTTTAAAAAAATCATTTAGCATTTTAAATTGTTTTTAGTTGGAAGATTTGCCCAAGTAACCTTGTCCACCATATTATCTGAAAGAGAACTCTTGTCATGTTTTACACTGATACACATTTTAATAAATGTGGGTTATCTTTATGTTGTGAGCTCTTGATTTGGTATTATAATTAATTGGAAAAGTTTTAACTTTAAGTATTCTGATCAAAATAGTCAAGTACAACTATAATGACTTTATCAAATATTACATAATTTTTCTTCTACTTGGTTTACTTGTTTTTTAATTTAGGTTACCATCAATGTTAGTCACATGAACTTTTATATTTATGTCCACAGTAAAAATTTTTCATAGCTTGTTGTTTTTCTTTCTTGTTTTTTCATTTTCAATTATACTTCACCTATACTTAACAGAATACTTAACAAATATGTATATATATGACAATATTAAAAAGCTTAGACATACTTATTTTATGTTTAAAATATAACATATACTAGGCAAGACAGGAAAACTCATCACTTTTATGAAATGAGGCACAGACAGAGTAATGGGCTTTCTTGGTGTCTCCTGAGTGGCGGGCAGGTGGCCATGTCACAGCTCTAATCCCAGTTTCCTGACTTCTGGTTCTGTTTTCTTACGGTGCCTTCACACTGTCTCTCCAGATCAAAAACAGAATCTAGAGATGACTTCTAAATTTTGTTACCAAAGACTGAAATTCCTGTTCCTTTCAACTACTAGAAGCTCAACTAAATTGTTGGCCCAAGGGTTTTTCTCTCACTGGCGGTGGCTCTGCAATATAGAATTGCATGCAGAGTACCTCCTGACTCCGCTAAAATCCTGTTTAATTGACCCTTGAGATTTTCTTTTCAAGTTAAAAAAAATACTACACATACCAAAGAGTATCAAGCACAGTTTAAAAATACATATTTGTCTTTTCATGTAATTTTATTTGTAGTTTAGATTACTAATCTTGGTGATCTAGTTGGGTTCCAGTTTAACAGTTTTAGGTTTTGCTTGACAGAGCTATAACACTTCAGTCTATATTTGATTTTTCAAGGGAAATGAGTTAACTCGATAAGTACTGTTTTGTTATCTTTAAACTTTCTCAGGTCTTTGACATTTTGAATTCAGCTGAATTAGTCTGTCTGACGAGACGCATTTTATTACCTAAAAACGTAATTGTTGAATGCATGGTTGCTACACATCACAACAGCAGGAATGCAAGCATTTGGCTGGGCTGTGGGCACACCGACAGAGGACAGCTCTCATTTCTTGACTTAAATACTGAAGGATACACTTCTGAGGTAAATCCAAATGCTCTTTAAATCTTTCATAATTTAAAGCATATACCATTTGGAAAGTTACTTAGGAATAAATTAAATAAGAGCCAATGTAGGATTATTATTCAATTAGCCTTCTGTTAGAACAAGAGTATTCAAGAGCAAATGTGTTTTGCTTTAGAATCACAGCATATGTCTTAGCTCAGGGTCCCTAGAAACAGAGCCTGAGATGGGTTATCTTGCACAAGTGATTTAAGGAAAGAGAATCTTAGAGAGAAGTAGAGGAAGCCAGAAAGGGCAGAGGAAAAAGCTCAGCAGAAATGTGGTTTCTGAAGAGGTCCAGCCTCAGTCTCTGCCCACAAGGAGCTCTGGAATATGAATAGGAGCACAGAATTTTCCCACTGCCAGGCAAGGGAGCCAGTCTTTCATTCTCACATATTGTTCAGTCATTGGCTGCAATCTGCTGGGAGGTGGGGGTAGTGTAACTTTCAAGGCATTTCTGGGCAAGCTGCCTCCTGTCATCTGAGGGTATTCTGTGATAAATAGCACATCTCTGAACTATAGTAGCCAACACTCAGGGTAGCTGGGGATGGCGTACCTGATGGATAAAGGAGATCTGGACATGGCTCCTAAAAGTGGATCAATACATTGTGTTGGCAAATATAAGATAAGTTTCTAGACTTCAAAGACAACCTAGTATTTTGACTGCTGCCTGAAGATAAATATTGTGCCTCAACATTAGTTCTGAGGTTAAACAATCTTTTTTTTTTAATTGATCATTCTTGGGTGTTTCTCGCAGAGGGGGATTTGGCAGGGTCATAGGACAATAATGGAGGGAAGGTCAGCAGATAAACAAGTGAACAAAGGTCTCTGGTTTTCCTAGGCAGAGGACCCTGCGGCCTTCCGTAGTGTTTGTGTCCCTGGGTACTTGAGATTAGGGAGTAGTGATGACTCTTAACGAGCATGCTGCCTTCAAGCATCTGTTTAACAAAGCACATCTTGCACCGCCCTTAATCCATTTAACCCTGAGTGGACACAGCACATGTTTCAGAGAGCACCGGGTTGGGGGCAAGGTCATAGATCAACAGCATCCCAAGGCAGAAGAATTTTTCTTAGTACAGAACAAAATGGAGTCTCCTATGTCTACTTCTTTCTACACAGACACAGCAACAATCTGATTTCTGTATCTTTTCCCCACATTTCCCCCTTTTCTACTCGACAAAACCGCCAACGTCATCATGGCCTGTTCTCAATGAGCTGCTGGGTACACCTCCCAGACGGGGTGGCAGCCGGGCAGAGGGGCTCCTCACTTCCCAGAAGGGGCGGCCGGGCAGAGGCGCCCCCCACCTCCCAGACGGGGCGGCGGCCGGGCGGGGGCTGCCCCCCACCTCCCGGATGGGGTGGCTGCCCAGCGGAGACGCTCCTCACTTCCCAGACGGGGCGGCTGCTGGGCGGAGGGGCTCCTCACTTCTCCGACGGGGCGGCTGCTGGGCGGAGGGGCTCCTCACTTCTCAGACGGGGCAGCTGCCAGGCAAAGGGGCTCCTCACTTCTCAGACGGGGCGGCTGCCGGGCAGAGGGACTCCTCACTTCTCAGACAGGGCGGCCAGGCAGAGATGCTCCTCACCTCCCAGACAGGGTTGCGGCCGGGCATAGGCTCTCCTCACATCCCAGACGGGGCGGCAGGGCAGAGGCGCTCCCCACATCTCAGACAATGGGCGGCCGGGCAGAGCCGCTCATCACTTCCTAGACGGGATGGCGGCCGGGAAGAGGCGCTCCTCATTTCCCAGACTGGGCAGCCGGGCAGAGGGGGCTCCTCACATCCCAGACGATGGGCGGCCAGGCAGAGACGCTCCTCACTTCCCAGACGGGGTGGCGGCCGGGCAGAGGCTGCAATCTCGGCACTTTGGGAGGCCAAGGCAGGCGGCTGGGAGGTGGAGGTTGTAGGTAGCCAAGATCACGCCACTGCACTCCAGCCTGGGCAACTTTGAGCACTGAGTGAACGAGACTCCGTCTGCAATCCCGGCACCTCGGGAGGCCGAGGCTGGCAGATCACTCGCGGTTAGGAGCTGGAGACCAGCCCGGCCAACACAGCGAAACCCCGTCTCCACCAAAAAAATATGAAAACCAGTCAGGCGTGGCGGCGCACGCCTGCAATGGCAGGCACTCTGCAGGCTGAGGCAGGAGAATCAGGCAGGGAGGTTGCAGTGAGCCGAGATGGCAGCAGTACAGCCCAGCTTCGGCTCGGCATCAGAGGGAGACGGTGGAAAGAGAGGGAGAGGGAGACCATGGGGAGAGGGAGACGGAGAGGGAGAGGGAGAGGAACAATCTTCTTATATGGTTTGAAGGAATGAGAATTCACACTGAAAAATAATTTTTAATTTTAGTTTCAGATGTCATCTTGATAGGCAAAACTTGTCTGCCAATTAACTCATTTATTGCTGAAAATTAAATAAAATTGGCATTGTTTTTAAAAGTAATGCAAGAAAGCAAAAAGAGTTATGTTGATAACAGAATCCTTTATTCTGTACAAGTTCTAGTTGCTTAAGCTTAAATCAAATCCTGCTAAGTATATTTTCTTTTCTTAACAGGAAGTTGCTGATAGTAGAATATTGTGCTTAGCCTTGGTGCATCTTCCTGTTGAAAAGGAAAGCTGGATTGTGTCTGGGACACAGTCTGGTACTCTCCTGGTCATCAATACCGAAGATGGGAAAAAGAGACATACCCTAGAAAAGATGACTGATTCTGTCACTTGTTTGTATTGCAATTCCTTTTCCAAGCAAAGGTATGGTAGTGAATTTGATCAATGGGGAAATTACAGATCTTTTAAACGACTGAATTGTGTGCATAATTGTTATTGCATCAGCAAAGATTGTTCATTTTTAGCCTATTTTCATTGGTTTGCATATATTAAAGGGAATTGTGGAAGGTCACAGAGATATTTGTTGTTTTTCTGAATACAGATCTAGCTGAGACATTTATAAAATAAGTCAACCATTTATTCAGGCCTACCAGCCCTGCTCCTGGTATTACCTCAACTGTGGCTCTATCTCTTTACTTCTCCTCAGATCAATGAATCTTTGTAGGGCCTCTTCAAGGATAAATTCTCATTCATTCATTCTTTGAAAAAAAAAAAATATATATATATATATATATGAAACCCATTGTGTGCCAGGCTTAAACATACCAGTTATCTAACTACCAAATTAAGAAAAAAATTAAATAAATGAATTAATAAATTCTTAATAGGTGAAAATGACTTAGCTCTTATCAATTGCAGGGTTCTTGTCCCAAAGAAATATATCTACATAGCAAAATTTCAGGTGTGAGTTGTAGGTTGGTGACTGTAATATTTGGGGCAGGATGATTTCCAGGAGGCATTAAGATTATACCCTATATATTTCTCTGGTTTAAGTTAGTATTGGAAAAAAAGTACTAGAAAAATGTGAAGCCTGTTTTTTGTACCTGAAATATCAACTCCACTGGCAGTTTCGGAGTTGAAATTATTTGAATATGGTCAAAGAAAAATTTCAATGGATGGAATTGGGCAAGGACGACTTTATTCAAGCCTATCACAGCAGGGGAGAGAGATCAGACTGAACTAAACTCCACTGAAACAAAAGGTGGGAGAGTTTTAAGCGCAGGGGTGAGCTAATGGAAACGTACTGGAGCACCTTGTTGGAAGGAAGTGGGAGCAGTTGTCAATGTGATTAGGCCATCTGTGTTTGCTAATTGTCCCTTATTGAAGGTAGGCTCCTACTCTCCCACAGACACTGGGGAATTCCTTCCTTCCTTCCATCCCTCCCTCCCTCCCTCCCTCCCTTCCTTCCTTCCTTCTTCTTTTTTTTTTTTTTGAAGGAGTTTTGCTCTTGTTGCCCAAGCTGGAGTGCAATGGCATGATCTTGGCTCACTGCAACTTCCACCTCCTAAGTTCAAGCGATTCTCTAGCCTCAGCCTCCTGAGTAGCTGGGATTACAGGCGTGCACCACCAAACCTGGCTAATTTTTTACATTTTTAGTAGAAACGGGATTTCACCATGTTAGCCAGACTGATCTCAATCTCCTGACCTCAGGTGATCTGCCCACCGCAGCCTCCCAAAGTGCTGGGATTACAAGTGTGAGCCACCACGCCAGGCCTCTGTCTTGATAATTACATTTCAAAGGAATGGCTCCCAGGTCCTTGGAAAAGACATTCTTGGGGTATAAAACTGGGAAGAGTCTGGGAAAAGGGGCAGAGAAAGAATTTATAATTCCAAGTCTTCTAAAGTAAATACTCTAAGAAAAGGGAGGTTAGGAATTTATAGTTGAGAAGTCTATCTAAAGTTTAATAAAGTGGAGGAGAACATTAAGGCCATTTTAGTCAACATACATGTTCTTTTTGTAACAATTTCAACATTTTTCCTTTTAGCAAACAAAAAAATTTTCTTTTGGTTGGAACCGCTGATGGCAAGTTAGCAATTTTTGAAGATAAGACTGTTAAGGTAAATGTTGAATGCATTCTACATCTAAATTTATTTTAAGTCTTTTGTTTTATATATATCTCACACCCCTCTTATGGGATTATAAACTCCCTGAGAGCAAGAATCATAAATTATGCTGTATTTGTATTGCTTCATAAAATCTTGAACACAGTAGATCCTCTGAAAATACTTGCTGATTGACTGTATATTTTATATGAATGAACTAAGAATAAAATGATAAATGACATCTGATTGATAATATTGGGAATGGAAATAATTCAATTTGTACATAACTGAGGCAGATAATTCCTTATAAATATATTGTGGAAAAAAAACAAAAATATACTTAAGTTTTAAATATGGCTTGCCATTAACTTTTTCTTAAGCATTGAAGAAATCATTTAATTTTCTTTTCTTCAGATTCCTATTTAGTCATTAAAGCATTCATTTCTCTATCCATCTATTCATCTTTGGTTCCATCTATTCACTCAACTTCCTACCCGTTCATTCTCCTATTGCCAAAAAGCTTATTATCTGATGAGAGACAGGGAAGTAGAGTATAACCCTTAGGTTATTTCTTTTGTAATTTTTACATGGGAAAAAGAATAGATTGAATGTAACAATAATATTTCGAATATGACCTAAATTTTTTTATGTATAATATTTGTACATATTTATGGGGTACATGTGATATGTTGTTACATGCATAGAATGTGTAATGATCAAGTCAGGGTATTTAGGATATCCATCACCATGAGCATTTATTTCTCTGTGCTGAGAACATTTCAAGTCTCCTAGTTATTTTGAAATGTTTTTAACTGTAGTCACTTTATTGTACTATTGAACATTAGAACTTATTCCTCCTATCTAACTGTATGTTTGTACCCGTTAACCAGCCTCCCTTCATCCTCCCCTTCTCCCACACACCCATATCCTCCCAAGCCTCTGGTAACTATCATTCTACTCTCTACCTCCATGAGATCAACTTTTTTAGCTCCCACATATGAGTGAGTACATGTGATATTTGTCTTTCTGTGCTTGGCTTATTTCACTTAACATAATGACCTCCAGTTCCATCCATGTTGCTGTATATGACATGATTTCATTCCTTTTTATGGTCAAATAGTATTCCGTTATGTAAATACACACATTTTCTTTATGCATTCATTCATTCATGGGTGCTTAGGTTGATTCCACTTTTTTTTTTAGCTATTGTGAATAGTGCTGCGATAAACATGGGGATATAGGAATCCCTTTGATATACTGATTCCCTTTCCTTTAGATTAGTATCAGTAGTAACATTGTTGGATTGTATGGTAGTTCTATTTTTAATTTTTTTGAGAAATCACCATTTTGTTTTCCGTAGTGGCTATAGCAATTTACATACACACCAATAGCATATGGGCATTCGTTTTTTTCCGCATCCTTGCCAGCATGTTATTTTTTGTCTTTTTTATAATAGCCATTCTAATTGGGTGAAGAAGATTTCATTGTGGTTTTCATTTGCATTTTTACTGATGATTAGTTAATGTTGAGCATTTTTTTTCATATATCCATTGGCCATTACTATGTCTTCTTTTGCAAATGTCTATTTAGATCCTTTGCCAACTTTTTGTTTTGTTTTAAGACAGGGTCTTGCTTTCTTACCCAGGCTGGCTCACAGTGGCATGATCATAGCTTGTTGCAGCCTTGACCTTCTGCACTCAAGTGATCCTCCAACATCAGCTTCACGAGTAGCTGGGACTACAGGCGTGTGCTACCATACCTGGCTGTTTATTTTTTGTAGAGATGCGGCTCCACTATGTTGTCCAGACTGATCTCAAACTCCTGGGCTCAAGCAATCCTCCTGCCTCATCTTCTCAAAGTGCTGGGATTACAGGCATGAGCCACCATACCCAGCCCTTTGCCTACTTTTAAATGGAGTTCTTTTTTTTTTTTCCTGTTGAATTGCTTTTTCGAGTTTCTTGTGTATTCTGGATGAATAGTTTGCAAATATTTCCTCACATTTAATGGATCCTCTCTATATTGTTGATAGTTTCCTTTGCTGTGCAGAAGCTTTTTAGTTTATTATAGTCCCATTTGTCTAATTTTGTTTTTGTTGCCTGTGCTTTTGGGATCTTAACCATAAACTCTTTGTCTAGACCAATGTTCTGAAATGTTTCCCCTGTTTCCTTTTAATAGTTTCATAGCTTCTGGTCTTACATTTAAGTCTTTAATCCATCTTGAGTTGAATTTTGTAAATGGTGAGAGAGTGGGGCCTACTTTCATCCTTCTGCATACTGATATCCAGCTTTTCCAGCACAATTTATTGAAGGTGGTATTCTTTCTCCCATGTATGCTTTTGGTGCCTTTGTTGAAAATTAGTTGGCTTTAAATATGTGGGTTTATTTCTGGGTCCTCTACATTGGTCTACCTACCTGTGTTTTTGCCAATACTGTGCTGTTTTGGTTACTCTAGCCTTGTAATATATTTTCAAGTCAGGTAGTGTGATGCCTCCAGCTTTGTTCTTTTTGCTCAGGATTGTTTTGGCTATTTTGGCTCTTTTTCGGTTCCACTCAAGTTTTAGAAATTTTTTTTTCTATTTCTGTGAGAAATATCATTGGAGCTTTCATGGGAATTTCATTGAATCTGTAGATTGCTTTGGGTAGTATGGTCATTTTAACAATATTAATTCTTCCAGTCTGTGAGCATGAATATCTTTCCATTTGTTTGTGTCCTCTTCAATTTCTTTCATGTTTTTCAGGTTTCCTTATAGAGATCGTTCATCATCTTTGTTAAATTTACTCCTAGGTATTTTATTAATTTTTTGTAGCTACTTCAAATGGGATTGCTTTCTTGATTTTTCAGCTACTTTGTTGTTGTTGTTGTATAGATATGCTACTGATTTCTGTATGTTGATTTTGAATCCTTTACTATACTCATTTATCAGAACTAAGAGTTTTTTTTAATGGAATCTTTAGGTTTTTGAGTTTTAATTTTAATATCTCTAATCATTTAAGATGGAAAGTAGTTTTTTGAAAGCACAGATTTTATGGAGTTTTGTTCTGTGGATACTCAATTTGCTGAGTGTGTTTTCTTTTTTTTTTGGCAAAGCTTAAAGGAGCTGCTCCTTTGAAGATACTAAATATAGGAAATGTCAGTACTCCATTGATGTGTTTGAGTGAATCCACAAATTCAACGGAAAGAAATGTAATGTGGGGAGGATGTGGCACAAAGATTTTCTCCTTTTCTAATGATTTCACCATTCAGAAACTCATTGAGACAAGAACAAGCCAACTGTAAGTTATTTTTTATCTGTACAAGTAATTTATCATTATACTTTTGTTTTTTCCTTATAATCATTAATAATACTGTTGATAATTCATAAGGAAGATCTTTTAAAATGCATAATTTATTTTCTATCATAAAATTAAACTTTCATTATAAAAAATTTTGAAAATTCCAGAAAGCAGAAGGGTATTTTTAAGAAGTCACTCAACCTAATCACTTTTAGGGATAAAATATGTAAACTCATTGTAATCTTAGTAGTATTTATCAATCTAAATTTTTTAACAATTTTTATTATCTGTGTTTCAAATTAGACATGAAATTGGAAGACAATCAACTTTGTATTTCACCAAATTCACGGACTATACATATGCAATTTGGGTAACTTCCATTAAGTATTGATTGTAGGAAAGATAGACAGCAAGTATTCTTGCTTGTCCAAAGTTGTTTCTAGATTTGATAATTATACAGATGTCTACTCACAGCCAAGTTAGTGATACCAGTTTCAAACAAGAATAAAATAAAATATTAATATAAACCTCTTTCAAGTTTGCTTTTTTTCAGTGGTATTTTAATCAAATCTTTGCAGTTGGTTCTTATTTATCACATTCCTCAGTGATAAGCAGTATAGGATTGTGGATAAGAGCATAAATCATAGTTCAGATATTGCTTTGCCATCTATTGGTTTTGTGAACTTGGGCAATAACCTTTCACATCTTCAGTCATCTCTTACCTGAGGATTGTAATATTCTCTATCTCAAAGAGATATTTGGAGGAGTAAATAAGAATGTTAATATATGGATCTTAATTAACATAATGACCAGCACCTGGTAAGCTGTCAATAAACATTAGCTATTATTATTATTATTAGCTTTGAGTCACAAATCCCTACCTTAGGGAATATCCTGGTTTCCCATTATCCATCAAATTTCCCAAGATTGGCACTTGGGAGTAATCTTTGACTCCTTTGTTTTTTGCTCCCTTTATCCACTTGACCCTCCTAATTGTCATTTGAATCTTTGTACTTCTCACTGTTCTCAGTGCTGGTACCATGGGCCAGACTGCCATCCATTATCTGTGGCCACATTAACAAGAGCATCCAGTTCTCACCCTCTGATTATACTCTCTTCAACATATTTTCAGCATTGCAGACAGAGGGACCTTTCTAAAATGTACATCAATCTGATGCAATTTTCCTGCTTAAAACCCTTCAGTGGTATCCCATTGTCCTTTATATGAAGTCCAAATTCCTTAAGACAGCCTACTGGGCCCTTCATAATTCAGTGCTTGCTTACCTGTCTAGATTCATATTTTGCAAGCTTTTTGCCATCTGTGCTTTACCCAAACTGAAATTGACTCAGATCTCTAAGACAACCTGTTATTACCTTTCACCCCCAACCTTTGAATGTGGTCTTCTCCTTACCTGGATGACTATTATGCCCCCTGCCTATTTCAGTCCAAGCACCACTTGCTCTGAGTGGCAGGTTAGGTGACTTTGTGCTTCCATTGCATCTAATGTTTTCCTTCACAGTAGCTATAATTGTATTTGTTAAAGTAGTTTCTCAATACCACTAAATCTACTGGCTTTCAACATTGGCTGTGCATTTAGAAACCACTAGGTAGCTGAAAATAATATGATACCTGGGCCCTACCTCAGACCAATTAAATCAGACCAGTTAAGCCTGGGATGGGGATCAGATTTTTTTTTTCAGGTTCTCAAGTGATTCTAAAGTATATTTGAGGTTAAGATATACTGCGGAGTGCAGTGTATTATAAGTTCCCATGAATGAGGATTTTTATTTCTGTCTTTACATATTTATTTACTAGTATGTGGTTAACATTTGGATCAACTCATTCTCATTCTGTAATACCCACATTTTAAAAAATGAATGTAAAAATGTCTTTTATTATTTTTATTTTTCAAATTTAATTTTAGATTCCAGGAATACATGTGCAGGTTTGTTACAAAAGTATAGTGCGTGATGCTGAGGTTTGGAATACAACTGAACTCACAACCCAGAAAGTGGGCATAGTGCTTGATAGGTAGTTTTTCATCTTTGCTCCCCTTCCTGTAATTTCCACTTTTAACCCAATTATACAAGCCTGAAAACCTTTAAAAAGAAAGGGCCTCCAGTTTATTTTTTTATTTCATAGCACATTTTATGGGATTATGGATATCAGTTAACTCTTTAAAGTTCCATATAAGATTTGGAGCATAGATGCTTTACTAGAGAGCATCCATAAAGATCAAGCTCTCAAAGATGCTCATCTCCCAAAAGAGATTGGGACCTAGATGCATAAACACTTAAATATAAATATTTGCTCTCTTCTGAACAAGTATCTCCTGTGGCCTTGGTCTCTACCCCACAAAACAGACATCACATCACTAATCAGGGGTTGCCTCATCATCAGTACCCTCATCATCATCAGTACACACCGACTGAGAGGCATGTTGGGTAATGAAAGATGACTGCCTTTGAAGCCGGAAGACTCCATAGGACTTTTGGAGTTCTAGGTCTGCAACATGTTTTTAGTCCTAGGTCGGCAAGCATGATGTTAGTCATAGGACCTTGAGCAAATTATTTAGCATTTGTACATGTTTCTTTCTACTATTAAAAACATTGAGATTTATCATATTTTATGTTTTTTTATTAAGGATCAAGCAAGATAACACACAAAAGTATTTTATAAAATACGGAAATTCCATGCAAAACTTTGTCCTAATTGGAACTATTTTCTATTAAATACAGCAAATATCCAAGAAGGAATTACCTAAAGCGTAGTGGCTCTCTGACAACACATCATATTTTTACCTCCTTTTCCAGAATAGAAAGAAAAGGGGGAGGAAAAAAAATCTTCCTACTCTAGGATATACTAATGATTGTTAAATCTTTATGGTATTTTCATGTTATCTATCTGATTTAAATGCAATTTTGACTATTTTTACATATTCCTCGTTGTTCATTCATACTGTAGTGCCTTCTTCTATTCCCCCACTTAACAGACTGCTTGATTATATCAGAGGTGCTTATCTGTGCAACTGTTTACTGGACGAGGGGTATGTAGAAAATACATTGTCCTCATCCTTATGAAATTACACTCATAATCTAGTGTGAGGGATGCACTAATAAAGACAATTTTATATTTAATAAGGTCTATAATATGACAGTGACACCAGTGGGGAAAAGGGACTGGTTGGTCTATTTTGATAGGTCAGGGAAGAAATCCAGAGGAGCCGACATTTAAGTTCATCCTCAAAGGCCAAGTAGGAGTTTGCCATGCTGATGTGGCCCAAGGTAGCCAATCTGTTTGTGAAATATGTACAATGCCAGATGTCTTAGGTTGAAAGGGAAATATTTTAAGGTGTTCGTAATTTTTCTTTATGTTTAAAAGGGGAAAATGGCAAATATTTTACTTTCTGTTTATGTTTGGATGATGTGGATTTTTGTTTTCTATAATTTGACTGGCTTAACTGCAAAGATATCCCTTGCTTTAAAATTTGAAGACACTGCAACTAAATTTTATTTCAGCATTTTATATTTTATAACTCTAGGTATAAAAGGCTAACACTTAATTTTCTGAGCATTCATGAAACAAAGTTTTGCAAGAACATTCAAAAGTTACAGATATAATATTTCCTTCAGAAATTTAGATATAGTACAAAATTCTACAAAGAGCCACATAGAATTGAAACTAAAAGTAAGACCAAAGTAAACATTGGACATAATCTTTATTTTATTATCACAAGAAATTAATATAAAGTAACCAAAAGTAAGTAAAGTACCAAAGCATGTTATATATTCAATTCAGAATGGTTAGGGAAGAATATGAAATAATTGCAATAGTCTAGCTTGTTTAGTTTTCAAAATAGTGTTTTTACATTAAGAACTAATATAAGGTTGTATTACACGTAGAAATTTTAAGAAGAAAACAAATAGTGATGACTTTCTATTTTTTTTTCTCTGTAGGTTTTCTTATGCAGCTTTCAGTGATTCCAACATCATAACAGTGGTGGTAGACACTGCTCTCTATATTGCTAAGCAAAATAGCCCTGTTGTGGAAGTGTGGGATAAGAAAACTGAAAAACTCTGTGGACTAATAGACTGCGTGCACTTTTTAAGGTAAATTCTGTGGTTTTTAATTTTATTCCCAAAAGAATTATCTTTGCACTTCATGTGTCACAGAGGAAGGATTTTTCTTCCTTTCTGCCTCTGAATAGAGAATTTTTTTAAAATGCAGAAAAAAATTTGTAATGCTTCTCAGCACCATCTTTTCAGATCAAGAAAATTTTGTCTTCAGAACATAAAAGAATAGGCACATAATGTGCATAGTTTTCTCATGGTATTACAAAGAATGTTCTCGAATGAAAATACTACATTATTGAAAATGAGCATATTGGAGTCTCTGCTAGCTTTGACATAGTTCTGTCACAGTGTCAAATATACTATTTATAATTAAATTATGGGCCCCAGGATTATCTGCTCTAAAGAAAAAGAGTCACAAAATAATAGACAAATATGGGGGGAAATGCAATGGACTGACCGAGGCGCTAAGGAGTGGGGATCAAGACCCCAGAATGAGAGCATAGTGCTTAGTCTGATGCAGCCTGTGAGTGACAAATCCATAGCAAGCACATTCTTTCTGTGCTGGTGCTGAGAAACAGGACCATTTTCAAGCTTATTTGCTAGCCACTTTATATTTTTATTTTGTTTTGATTTTACCATATAGATCTATGATACTCTTGAGAACATTTTAGATTACACACTATATCTGTAAAAGGATACTTCAAAGTTTCCTGTCTTAGATTCATCTGACAGTTTTTCTATGGATTGTGAGAAGGGCTCACAGTTTATGTTCAGAAGGGCCAACAGGTCTCCTTGATAAAGGGTTCCTTACTTCCTGAAGTACCAAAACGATTAGGATTCTTTTATTTCTGGACACTTCATTTTTGTCATGAATTAGACTATTCACTGGTTCTGGGAAAAAATTCAGTGGTTTGTATCGATATCTTTTACATGTGAATGACTATAATTTTATGTTCCTTTGTAACATTGAGACTTCATGTAAAACTTTTGACTCTAACTTTTTTTTTTCTTTATCCTGGGCACATGTATGCTATTTTTACTGAATTAGATAGCTTTGGTATTTATAAAAATTGTATCCCTCTTATTCATAATTTCCTGAAAATGAAGGGCTATTGTTATCTTTGATAATTTATGCTTCAAGTAAAGAAGTGTGGCTCTTTGGCATCTGTATTTAGCAAAATTTGCTTTGTATAATTTTAATGATGCATAATGGTGGTGGTGTCATGTTTTAATAATTTAAAATGTTGTTTATGTTATCATATGTAAATAGCATTTATCTCTTAATTGGTGGTAAAATTATTAATGTATACTTTATGGTTCTAGGGAGGTAATGGTAAAAGAAAACAAGGAATCAAAACACAAAATGTCTTATTCTGGGAGAGTGAAAACCCTCTGCCTTCAGAAGAACACTGCTCTTTGGATAGGAACTGGAGGAGGCCATATTTTACTCCTGGATCTTTCAACTCGTCGACTTATACGTGTAATTTACAACTTTTGTAATTCGGTCAGAGTCATGATGACAGCACAGCTAGGCAAGTTTCTTTCCTTTAGATATTTTTCATATTCTCTAAGTCTTATAAAATATGCCTTTATTTTACGTTTACATTTTCTCTGAACTTTCCAGTGTCATATGGATGGTCTTGGAGGGTCACACAGTGAAACATAAGACTGGTATAAATTGTGAATAGGGTCATTACAGAAGTGGAGGGAGTAAATGCTCTCAGTCCCACAAGAGAAGCAGATTACTGCAGCTGAACACTCAGTTTGGGTCTTACTTGCTTTTTTCCTTTTTACCTAAGGCAAAAATGGGAAATACATGGTATTGAATATATTTTACTTTTTGAGCAAAGAAAATAAAGAAAATGTTTGTTTTAATCATAGTCTAGCCTCCCAGCTTGTTAAAGAATCTCATTTGGTTTTTCATTCTATAACAAATCTTTTTTCTTGCAGCAATACATGCTGAACTGCACAACCTACAAATATTGACAAATCATATTTTACTCAAACTTTGTCTTTTTTTGCTTCTATTTTTATATTTAAATATGATAAAATTGTGATAGCACATAAAATATATTTTCTGCATAAATATATTTGCGTCTTCCTTTGATAATAATTTGTTTTAGAAAATAACAATAATAGCATATATACAAAAGTTTACAAAAACGACACTATGGGGTTTAATTCTGAAAAAAACTAGAATTTATGTAACTTTAGCAAATAATGAATGTTTTGAACATGGTGAAGAAAATATATTCATTGCAAGTATATGTGAAAGAGGAACATGTGTTTTTCTAGCACCTTCACCTATTTTTCATTTATAGACTTTAGAGTTGCACAGGAGTTACAATTAGATGCTCTTAATGACTGTAAACTATTAAGATACATGTCCACACAAGCAGAGCAGTAGGTCTCTCAATAGGTTGTCTCAGTAGTCTTATTCTACCAAAGTTGTTGCATTCTCTAGTTGAATTGTATGTACTTTGGGACCCAAATAGCTTGCTTATAACTGAAGTTATAGTGGAATGTCTATGGGTTATAGTTTGATTTTAAAATAAAGATCAATTGGAGGATAGCCTACAAGGTGCTGCATGAGCTGGCTTCACTGTACCTCTCCTGCCTCCATCATCTACCACATTCCTACCAGATCTTGCTTGTCTAGATGAACATCCAGTTCTTCTCAATTACTATGCTATATTTTGCCTCAGGGATTTGCACATGCTGTTTATTTCTTTGCTTAGTTAACATAGCTTTTTTTCATGCTTATTTAACTCATATGCTTTGAAATGTTAGCTCCTGTGTCAAAACCTCTGAGAAGCCAACACTGATTAGGTCAAAGTTCCCGCTTTGGGTTCCCATAACAGCTTTCTTGCATAGTTTTGATCATGGTCATATTTTTTTTTCATTAATGCTAGTCTCTTCACTAGAATATAAACTCCAAGACGGTTGGGTTAGTGTGTTTTTGTTTACCCCTTTTTTCCCAGGATCTAGCCTAGGGCCTACATAGAAGACTTTTGATGCAAATTTGTTGAATAAATTAGTGAATGATTTGAAAAGAAAATATGATATTTTGACATAGTATCAGTATATCCATCCATCTAAGTGTCCATCTAAATACTCATATTTGTACTAAATACTCATATTTGTACCTTACCATATCCAAAGAACTTTTCACACACATTACCTCGTTTAACATTGTAACTTTGGGAAGGGTAATGTATAAATACTGAGCCTATTTTATAGAAAGGTTAAGCTGTTTTCTCAGACTCACATAATTAAGAATTGCAGCAAGGAGTGGATCACAGATTTTGTTATTTTTTAAAAAAATGCTGGTCTTTATTCAATATAATTGAAGGGTCACCTAGAAAATAGAATTGTGAATTCAGTTCCAAGGTATTTGTGTCTTAAACTATGAACAACTTTACTTTTTTTTCAGGCCAGTTTAATATATAGTTTTAACAGAAAACTTACATATTTTGTTTTTGTAAAGGAAGCCTTAAAAATGTCATGCTGGTATTGGGCTACAACCGGAAAAATACTGAAGGTACACAAAAGCAGAAAGGTAACATTTAGAAGGATACTGTTTTCCAAACAGGGCAATGATGTGAATGATGGTAACATATTATGTGTTTCATAAATTTGTAGAAAATATTACATATGGTATAATCAGGAATTTTAATTGGTAGTTTATAGTGTAAAGAACTTAGACATAAATTTTCAAAATTACAAGTGATATGAAGTGTTAAATATTTATATTTTCAGCTGAAGTAGAGGTGTCAATCACTAGCTCAACCTTAAACGAAATGTGAATATTTTTTACAACTTATCTATATCTACATAATGTCTAATTTTGAACAGTGTTTGAAAAAGCTTTTATTTCTTTTAGAATATGAAATGTTAATTTATTAAATGTTGATACTCTATTTGAAATTTAATAGTTTCTATAATGTATTATAAAACTTTTCCAAGTATAGTTTTTTATAAATAATAATTTAGTACATTAGTTATAGCTGTGTTTATATTTACATTTATCTAAGTCAACTAAAAATACATGAGCCAAACTGAAATAAAATAAGAATGTTTTATGATGGATCTTTGAAACATGATTTCATTTTTTTCTTTTTCTAGAGATACAATCTTGCTTGACCGTTTGGGACATCAATCTTCCACATGAAGTGCAAAATTTAGAAAAACACATTGAAGTGAGAAAAGAATTAGCTGAAAAAATGAGACGAACATCTGTTGAGTAAGAGAGAAATAGGAATTGTCTTTGGATAGGAAAATTATTCTCTCCTCTTGTAAATATTTATTTTAAAAATGTTCACATGGAAAGGGTACTCACATTTTTTGAAATAGCTCGTGTGTATGAAGGAATGTTATTATTTTTAATTTAAATATATGTAAAAATACTTACCAGTAAATGTGTATTTTAAAGAACTATTTAAAACACAATGTTATATTTCTTATAAATACCAGTTACTTTCGTTCATTAATTAATGAAAATAAATCTGTGAAGTACCTAATTTAAGTACTCATACTAAAATTTATAAGGCCGATAATTTTTTGTTTTCTTGTCTGTAATGGAGGTAAACTTTATTTTAAATTCTGTGCTTAAGACAGGACTATTGCTTGTCGATTTTTCTAGAAATCTGCACGGTATAATGAAAATATTAAGACAGTTTCCCATGTAATGTATTCCTTCTTAGATTGCATCGAAATGCACTATCATATATGCTTGTAAATATTCAAATGAATTTGCACTAATAAAGTCCTTTGTTGGTATGTGAATTCTCTTTGTTGCTGTTGCAAACAGTGCATCTTACACAACTTCACTCAATTCAAAAGAAAACTCCATTAAAAGTACTAATGAAAAAACATGACATACTGTCAAAGTCCTCATATCTAGGAAAGACACAGAAACTCTCTTTGTCACAGAAACTCTCTGTGTCTTTCCTAGACATAATAGAGTTGTTTTTCAACTCTATGTTTGAATGTGGATACCCTGAATTTTGTATAATTAGTGTAAATACAGTGTTCAGTCCTTCAAGTGATATTTTTATTTTTTTATTCATACCACTAGCTACTTGTTTTCTAATCTGCTTCATTCTAATGCTTATATTCATCTTTTCCCTAAATTTGTGATGCTGCAGATCCTACATCATTCAGATAGAAACCTTTTTTTTTTTCAGAATTATAGAATTCCACAGCTCCTACCAAGACCATGAGGATAAATATCTAACACTTTTCAGTTGCTGAAGGAGAAAGGAGCTTTAGTTATGATGGATAAAAATATCTGCCACCCTAGGCTTCCAAATTATACTTAAATTGTTTACATAGCTTACCACAATAGGAGTATCAGGGCCAAATACCTATGTAATAATTTGAGGTCATTTCTGCTTTAGGAAAAGTACTTTCGGTAAATTCTTTGGCCCTGACCAGTATTCATTATTTCAGATAATTCCCTGTGATAGGACAACTAGTACATTTAATATTCTCAGAACTTATGGCATTTTACTATGTGAAAACTTTAAATTTATTTATATTAAGGGTAATCAAATTCTTAAAGATGAAAGATTTTCTGTATTTTAAAGGAAGCTATGCTTTAACTTGTTATGTAATTAACAAAAAAATCATATATAATAGAGCTCTTTGTTCCAGTGTTATCTCTTTCATTGTTACTTTGTATTTGCAATTTTTTTTACCAAAGACAAATTAAAAAAATGAATACCATATTTAAATGGAATAATAAAGGTTTTTTAAAAACTTTAAATGCTTTTAAGCATGTTTATGAATTTTTAAACTTTGTGATAGTGTTTTGCTTTTCACATATAGGTCTGTTATCCATCTCATAGGAAACTTTGTATTAATTTGTATATGGGACATTCCACAATAAGAAAGTGCAACTAAAGTTTTTTCCTTGATAACTTATGGAATATTTAAATTTAATTTTCTATAATACATATAGTTGCCAGGATCCCAGGACAAAATCTGATGGGCATGATACATTCTATTTTCAAGTTCTCTTAAAAAGTTTTTGTAAGTAAACTTGTTTGCTCTTGAGTACTGAAACAAAATATAAGACTTTAGAGCAAATGACATATACAAAAAAAAGGCACAGTCACTTCAACTGTTTTCTGATTAGAAGCCTAAAATAACTTGCTAATTATGATCAAAATACAAGCATATTATCGTAACAAAATATTCTTTTGGGAAAATTTTGAATTAAGAAAAGGGAGCCTCTTTGACTCTAATTCTGGTAGGTACTCTATCGATTATGTGTGAACTATTTCAACTAAAACGCAACTTATTTTTCATCAAGGCAGTGAAATATATTGATGAAACATAGCAGAATTACCAAAAAAAGATTGTCAATTTTCCTAAGTTAAATGTAAGGATGCAAATGTTCTAATATTGAGGGGAGATAAAATTCAAAACCATTGGGACTTTGCTTCTTTATCCATCACTTTGGGTAGCTGAACACCTAACCTGGTAAATTGAATGTTTTTCATGGAGGCTTATCAGCAATTCAGTAAAATAGTAAACTATGTCAACTCGGGAGAAACTGACATCCTCATTCTCCATGCTAGCCAGTTTCTCATCCAGGGTGTCATTGTTTCTAATAACAATTCAGAATCTGGCTGCTTAAAGGCACCTACGTACGTGGTTCTTTCTAATTTGTCAAGGCATTTGGAGTGATCCTATCACCCTGATTTCAAGCAAAAGACAGGGAGGCACCTGACCCAAAGGCCTGCTGTCTGAACACACTCTGAATGGGTGAGCAGAGATGTGCTTTAAGATAGAACCTAAGGTGGTTCTCTCTATGTGCTGCCCTCACACTGCTCTTGATTTCTACCCTTACCTGGGAAGTCTCTACTTGATGTCTGTCTTAGGCTAAGAAAAAGAGAAGAGAAAGGGAATGAGTATTAGCATCTGGATTCTGGGGCTGCTTCTTGGCCTCTGTGAGAATCCACTGTTTCACAGCAATCACAGCCTAGAAAACTAGACTTTATGGAGTAAACAATAGGTATCATTCTGACCTGGGCTTCACCACAATCACCCACTGAACACTCCCAAGAGAAGGTTGTTACCATTTATTTATGAAAATACCAAACTATGTGATACATACTCTATTAGAAGTATTATGGAAAAATAGAGAATATGTCTACCTGGCCAGAGAATAGAGGATCTGGATCACAAAAAAAGTACAAATATTTAAGCAGAGACTTAGGACAAATGGGCATTCAACAATTTAGGACACATGGGCATTCTACAATTTCCAGAGTGAAGTAAACATTCTAGGCAGATAAATCACACATGTGCTGTCTTAGGAATGTGAGCTTATTTTGAAAGCATCCCTATCAAATACGTGCTAAAACTTGTGACAAGTTCCCATTCCTAGAGTACTTACAGGATACACTTAAGTGACTGAAGATGCAAGAGAAATATATATTTGTGTATGGATATAGCATTTTATCATTAATTGAGAGATTATAAAGCTAATGAGCTTTTCTTTGCAGAGGGAGTATTTGTTAGGATGAAATGGGGAGAGATGTTTCAAACACCAAGTTTATCTTATAGGTTAAGAAATCCTAGAAGGAATCCATGACTTTATGTATATATACAATATATGACAAGAGATTTCCCCATCTCATTACAAAATGAGCACAAAGTAACTAACTCAAAGCTTTTGCTATTATGATAAAAGTTTAAAAGGCTAGTACATAGCAGAAATGTGATTTACTATAACGGGGGTCCAGGGGATAAAATATTTGCAAGCTGATTGTCTCATGTTGGCAATGTTTTCATTTCCTACTACGTTAGGTAACACAGATGAGATTGTACATCAGAGTAAGAAGGCAACCACTAATAGAAGCTGCATGCGGGCAAAAGACTATTCTCTGACCATAAGCTTAGTTTAGATGGATCCTTGCTGCAATCACTAAATTCATAAATCTGTGCTAGTATTGGATCAGGAAATCTCTGCACAAGCAGATAAATAAAAACTTTCTGCTTTGGCTGAAATAACTGCTTTTAGGAAAAGAAAGAGTATATGCTTATTAATATAGCTTGGGATGTGGACCTCTTTGACGAGACTATACAATTCAAGGTAGACAAAGTATGCCTAAAAATAAATCTAAAATAAACTTGTATATTCAAATGGAACATATTCTTTAATAATGTCATTTTTAAGGGCTCTGCATTTATTCCATAAATGCTGCCATTATTGTTCAGTTTTTCTTAATTACCTGCATTCACTTTAGAAAACAGAAAAAAAAAAAAAAAAAAAAAAAACAGAAACAGTTGCAAAAGAAAGCAGCCAGAAAGAACATACATTTAGAATTGAAAAAGACCTTGGTCTAAATTCTAGATTTGGCATTTACTTAGTAATCTGAACTGGAGCAAGTTGCACAAATGACCAGAGAATCATCTTTTTTTTCTGTAAAATGGCAAGAGTAGTATACCCACCTTCTAGAAGGATGAGTGTAAATTAAGGAATTGTGCAATTAATTCCCAGGCAAGTCACACACAAGCACCACCTTATGAGGGAATTCATATTAGAAATCAGTGTCACTAAAAATACTTTTCTCTAATAAAGCACACATTACTATACATTTTGGATCTTTGGAAGTTGCTCCTGGAAACTACTAATAATAAGTTCAAGGTGCCAAGGGGTTTAATCTAATTTACCAAACAATTAAAGTGTGAAAAGAAACTACTATCAAGATATTGACTCATTACATTATGTTTTTATGCTTTTAGTGAAAGCCACGGCCAGATACAGCTAGAAAAATGATCTCTGCCCTCATGATGTCCTTATGATTGCCTTCTCATCTGTTTCCATTGTCACTTACTGATCTACATTTCTATACTACATGGGTCTAAATTTCATTTCAGCCTGTAACATCAAGAGGATTTTGTAGTAGGAAACCTAAGTGGTAGTTGCAAAGATTTATCAGGGGTTTTCAGTCTGCAATTACTAAAATAAACACATTAAGTTCATCTCTATTAACAGTATTAATTACAGATGTGCTTCATTTGCTAGTATGAAGAGCAGTGCAATGGATAACATCTATGATTTTTTCTTTAAACAATTCACTCCAATGAATTGCCTGAAGCTCTTGATTTCTGGATAGTACACATCATCCATTCTGAGTGGGATAATGTTTTGTGCAATAAGAAGGAGAGTGAGTTTGCTCTTTTTGTTGATTTTGATGGATGGGGTGGGAGAAAAGAGCAATACTGAGGTTGAAGATCACTGGGTGACAACTCTTCTGCTACAGCCAGAATTATTTTTTTGATGTAACTTACACACATTGCAAACAACCTCTATTTTCCTTTGTGCTCCTCCCTTCCCCACCTACAATATAGAATTTTACTATTTATCCATTTCATGTCCACTCTGTCTAACATTACTAACTAGTACAATGCATGTAAGACATAATTATATGTGAGAATAAAATTTCACATTAAAAACCATCTACACATTTCTGATAATTTTGGACAGTTCTTTATTCTTAGAGTGGAAAATTATAAAATAATTGAGAACATTTTAGTTTTGTGTGTCATTGTCCTTAGGTAAAGCTGGCAGTATCTTTGGCTCTCAATAAACTGCGTGTTTAGCAAGAAGGATTTTATTTTAAAGATAAATGTTTTTGCCACATACGATAGAATATCTTCATTGTTATGTACTTATTTCAAAAGTAAACATAAGTGGTACCAATATGTTGTAATACCATAAGTTAAATATTGTGTTAAGCTTTTAGGTAAATTCAGTCACCTCTTCTCTAAATGCTCTCAGTGATTTTATACACTTTGGTCTTCCATAAAGATAATTAGTATGTGTCAATTACTGAGAAATAAGCTGTCCTTCATCCACGGGCTGCTGACATTTTGCTTTTTACTTCTTCCTTTTGTGTTACTGACTTTCTTTAAAGAAAATGGTTTTCCAGGTGTTATTTTCTAAATGTCATCACATAAACTGAGGCATAAATTATTTAATTTCTCTCTCAAATAACTTTTATGCTTTCAAGGTAATGTAAACAGGAAGAAGGAAAACACATAATTTGAAACACTGACTGAAGAAGATTTTTATAGCACAACTATAAATTATGGAAAATGAGAAGAAACAGTCAACCTAAATCTTTAATCACTAATTGGAATCTTGTGTATCAAAAACTGATGCAAAAAATCTCCCTTGCAAATCTACACAAGCAGAAGAATTAATCCTTTTTTTTTTTCTTTTTTCATCTTGTGAGTCAGAATCAAACACATCATAGAGGTTAGGGACATGGGCCCTGGGCTGTTGGGCCTGGCCCCCTCTCTTATGCCACTTTGTTGCTCAATCTTTCTTTGTACAAATGTCCTCATATACAAAAAGATATAAAAATACTACCACAGACAGCTGTTGTGAGGAGCATGTTGTTCTCAGATTCTCCTTATACCCAAGCCTAAAAGGACTTTTAGGTGCTTTCTATTTGTTGATAAGAAAAAGGAGAGTTTTAAAGTTTGAAGCTGGTAGGTGGAACCAATATTCTGGTGATTATTCACTGAACTGATTTACTTGAGTGAGTGAAAGATTAAGGTCCCTGGATTATAAAGCAGTGACCAGGAAAGCTGGTAATTTGGCATCCTATCAAACTCATACTTTGTGTTTAGCATTTGTTTAGTGGGAGCTGGGAGAAACTGACTTTGTGTTAATAAAAATAATATGAAAACAAATTGGCTTTTGTTTCATTTCCAGTAACAAGTTAATGATTTGGAGAAGTCCACCTCCTGAAAACTAAAAAGGTTAGCTTAAAAGGAAAGGAAGAACATTAAAATGAACATCTAAAATTACCAAAGATCTGATGAGATGGTATGGAACTATATGGCCAAAATCAAAGTGAAGGTGGGAACACAAAGATATAAGCAGAACACCAAAGCTGTGTTTTCTTGTGAGCATTTGCTTAACCTGGTAAATCTGACCTTTAGTTTCCCCAGCCTTGAAAGGATCAGATCACATCTCAAGGTCAGGAGTCAAATACATGGGTATTTCCATTAGGCTGGGGCACCAAAGGGATACAAGTCAGTGTGACAATCAGAAGCAAAACCGTCCACCTTCTACTCACTGACAAGACCCAGAGAAGGCTCATAAGCAATTCCTCCTGGAGTTGCTCAAATTCACATCATGTATGTTATTTTTTTAAAAAAAATTACTGAAGCTTTTAATTAAATGAAAATTTTAGACAGAGAAGACCTCAAGCAAGGAAGTTTATCAGGGAAAAGAAGGGTGTTGTGTAATGATAGAAGTGTCTTTATACCCACGTAGACCAGTTGTTAGATGGGGGATGCCTGAAGAAGGCAGAGTGAGCTTGGGCATGGTCACATTTTCAGCAGAGGTATTTCTAGGAGAGGGCTGTAAGGTAAGTTGACAACCTTCCCAGTGGCTGGGGAAAATGAGTTCCTTCAGGTGTGGGTGGCACTGAACAGTATTTATGAAAGAAAACTCAATAAATAAATTAATAAATGCATGTGTAAATAATTGCCTTGGTGAAGGCATTTATTGATTCTAGTGAAATTGAGATGAGGTTTCAAAGGACTTAAGGTATATGTGGAATAGAAGACATAAAACGTGGAGATACTAATTACAGATTGACTCTTCAGTAAAAGCTGAAACCCAAAATAACTACAGTCGTGTGCTGCATAACGTGTTGGTCAATGATGGACTGCATATACAATGGTGGTACCATAAGATTATAATGAAGATGAAAAATTCCTGCCCCCTAGTGACATAGCATTGTAGCACAACGTGTAACTCACTTGCCTGTGGTGATGCTGGCATAAACAAACCTACTGTACTGCCAGTCGTATTAAAGTTTAGCACCTACAATTATGTGCATTACCTAAGACTTGATAATAAACGTGATATTACTGGTTTATATATTTACTACAGTATACTTTTAATCATTATTTTACAGTGTATTCTTTCTCTCTTTTTTTTGAGACAGGGTCTCATTCTGTCACCCAGGCTGGAGTGCAGTGGCGTGATCTCGGCTCACTGCAACCTCCACCTCCTGGGTTCAAGGGATTCTCCTGCCTCAGCCTCTTGAGTAACTGGATTTGCAAGCATGCACCACCATGTTCGACTAATTTTTGTATTTTTAGTAGAGATGGGGTTTCACCATGTTGGTTGGGCTGGCCTCAAACTCCTGACCTCAAGTGATCTGCCTGCCTCGACTCCCAAAATGCTGGGATTACAGACATGAGCCACCACACAGTGCCTGGCCTATTTTAGAGTGTACTTCATATATATATATATATATACACACACACACACACACACACATATAAATATATACACAGCTTCATTATAATCTTATGGGACCTCCATTGTATATGCAGTCCATCATTGACCAAAACATTATATATATATATATACACACACACACACATATATACACATATATATGTGTATATATATGTATATATATAGATATATAAAGTTAACTGTAAAACAGCCTCAGGCAGATCCTTCAGGAGTTGTCCCAGAAGGCAGTACTCTAGGCTATGGTTTGTGTTTGTGTTAGTTTTTAACCAAAAAGTTAAAAAAAAATTAAAATAGACAAAAGCTTATAGAATAAGAATCTAAGGAAAAATATTTTTACAGCTGTAAAATATGTTTCTGTTTTAAGCTAAGTGTTTTTACAAAAGAATCAAAAAGTTTTAAAATTAAAAAGTTTATAAAGAAAAAAGTTACGGTAAGCTAAGTTTAATTTATTATTTAAGGGGAAAAAAATAGGATGGGTGCAGTGGCTCACACTTCTAAGTCCAACACTTTGGGAGGCTTAGAAAAGAGGATTTCTTGAGTCCAGGAGTTCGTGACCAGCCTTGGCAACAAGGTGAAACCTCATCTCTACCGATAATGCAAGACATTAGCTGAGTGTGTTGGCACAGGCCTGTAGTCCCAGCTACTTGGGAGACTGAGGTGGGAGGACTGCTTATGGCCAGGAGGTGAAGGGCAAAGGTTGCAGTGAACTGTGATTGTGACTCCAGCCTGGATGACAGAGCAGGACTCTGTCTCCAAAAATAAAAATGGAAAGAAAAAAGAAAAAAAATTGTTTTAAAATACATTTAGTGTAACCTAAGTATACAATGTTTATAAGGCCTACAGTAGTGTACAATAATTTCCTAGGCCTTCACATTCACTCACCACTCACTCACCGACTCACCCAGAGCAACTTTCAGTTCTGCAAGCTCCATTTATGGTAAGTGCCCTATACTGGCGTACCATATTTAATCTTTGATATCATATTTTTACTGTACCTTTTCTATGTTTAGATATGCTTAGACACACAAATACCAGTGTGTTACAATTGCGTATAGTATTCAGTACAGTAACACGCTGTATTGATTTGCAGCTTAGGAGCAAAAGCTTATTCCATATAGCCTAAGTGTGTAGTAACTTATACCTTCTAGATTTGTGTAAGTACGCTCTATGATCTTTGCACAAAGATGGATTTGCCTAATGACACATTTCTCAGAAAGTGCCCTTGTTGTTAAGTGATGCATAACTGCTATTCTTAGAATGGTAGACCAGATTTCACCCATGCCACACTTTTACAGTCCCTCACTGCACAAAGTAAAATAGTCTTGGTGTTGAGCATAGCAAGGTGGTAAGAAAAGCATCTGAGTCATTGTAACTCTGAAGTCACAAGAGATTTACAGGTCAAATTTATATCACAGATGTTTCTAAAAACATTGAGAGGTTTATTATTGAAAGTAGTTCCATTAGTAGTTAGGTGCCTGGGATAAGAAAATCTAAATCTTCTCTAATGAAATATATATTTATCCTATTAATATTTCTCAAATAATATGCTTTCTAAAGACAATAAGCAGTGTACAATGTACAGTTCAAATAAATGAAGCTTAAGAGAAAAATGACGACGTGAAAGAGATGCTTCAGGATCAACTAAGAGCAGAAAAAAAACAGCTAAGAGTCCAAATACCAGAAGGTGAAACATAGGATCTGAAATAAAGACACATTTGAACATTTCTTCAGCGGGCAGGAAGCTATAAATATGATTAAGGGGATTTGAAAAAGAGTCAAGTAGAACTTCTAAAAAGAAAAAATATAATATGTATAATTTAAAATATCATATATGGAGTTCATAGCATTTTAGATACAGATGAAGGAAAAATTAATTAACTGGAAGATAAGGCAAAAAGGATTTTCTAGAATGCAACATGGACAGAAACAGAGATGAACAATGTAAACCAAATAGTCAAGACTCTTCAAGGTGGAGTAATAATGTCTAACTTATGTCTGATTGGAATGCCAGAGAAGGGGAATATAGAGGAGAAATATGTTTGAAGAGATAATGACTAGGATATAACTAGAACTGATGAAAGATACCAATTTGCATACATACAAGAAACTGAGACTCCAAATAAAGATAAATTAGGACATCCCCACATTGACACACTAAAGTGAAAATGCAGAAAATAAAAAGAAAAGGCATGGATGACTCCCACAAAAAATGTTGGGTGAGAGAAACACAATGCAAAGAATTTATATAGTATGCTTCCATTCACATAAAATTAAAAATCAAAACTGAACTCGATTGTTTAAGGATGTATAAATATAAGTGGTAAAATTATAAGGTAAGTAAGAAAATGAAAAATAGAAACATTAAGAGAGTGGTTATTTCTATAAAGAAGGGAAAGAATTACAATTGAGAAGTAGGCAGGTAGAGGATTCTGAGATGCTGGAAAATGTTCTATTTCCTGACCTAGCTGGTGGGTAAATGGGTATTTCTTGTATAATAATTCCTTAAAATATAATTTTATGTTTTACATATTTATTTAGTACATTATGTCTCTAAATTTAAAGATGAAACAAACTAATTTACTTTCACTGAATGAACTAAAATTGTCCTGAAAACATTTGATAATACATTTCCCAAATGTCTGAGCTTCTCATCTCAGTTTTAGTTGTTGATTTTCTCCAGCCTGTCAACTAGAGCATATGGTTTAATAAATATAAATGATTCACAGATAATGAAAAAAGCCATTCATTTCCACTTAACATTGCTACATCATGCCTTTTCAGTTTTAACATCAAAATTAAGACTATACATTCAATAAAATTGTGAGATTTTAAGCTTAGATTGTTGGGTACAGAGATATACTGAGAAGTAAAGAAGAGCAGCAGGTCTGGTGCAGATAATTATTTAAAGTTTGACATATGTATTTAAACTTCTTATAAAACATACAGATGGAAATATTCAATAGATGGTTGTGAATACTGATCCAAAACTCAGAAGAGACTGGGGGGTCAGAAGCAGATTTGTAAGTCATCTGTTGAGAGGCCATCTGTATTTGTTTGCTAGGACTGCCAAAACCACAGACTGGATGGCTTAAACACTGAAATTTATTTTGGCTAGAAGTCTGAGATCAAGGTATTGGCAGTGTTGGCTCCTTCTGAGGGTTGTAAGGGAACTATTGTTCCAGGCCTCTCTCCTTGGCTTGTAGGTGGCTGTCTTCTTCCTGTGTCTTCACATCGTCTTCCCCCTGCACCTGTCTTTGTCCAGACTTTCTCTTCTTATAAGGCACCAATCTATTGGATTAGGGTTCACCCTAATGGCCTTACTTTAATTTAATTATTTCCTTAAAGATCCTATCCACAAACAGGGTTATATTCTGAGGTACTAGGGATTACGACTTCAACATAGGAATTTTTTCAATGTACAAGGAAATTTAGCCCATAACACTATCAATTAAAACCTGAGACAAGATGACCTGGCCAATGTGCAGAGCACATTGAGAAAAGAGAGCTCTGAAAAAAGCCATATTCAGAAGAGTTAGAAGAGGACAGAGGCTGAGAAGGAGATAGTTTAAAGAGATAATCAGTGAAGTAAAAAATGGCAGAACATTCAATGAGGATCTATCTGGACTTAGTAAAGCAAATGAACTTGATGAAGCTATACGTGGTGACCACTGATAGAACAGAGTTTACAGAGTGGGAAGGAGTGGAAGGCTGAATGAAGTGCATAAAGGAGTACATCTAAAAAGGCACAATGAGAATGGAAAGACAGTAATGAATGTTAAGAAGTAGAAGAGGAGATGTAGAAAGAAGGAGCTGATATAATAACTGTGTGGGTGATTGTGCAGGACAAATGATAGAGTGACCATTAAAATATGGCTTATGATTGAGCACAAGAAATCATTTCAATGATACAAATGCAGACAGAAGACGCAGGTATAGAACTTTTGTCAGGAATACAGCTTACTATAGAGACCTATTTACCAGGGGAAGGCCAGTGTTCAAATTCCTCTTAAAATGTTATTAAGGGGAGTTCATATGACAACTGCAAGTATCAATACCACCATAATATTCTATTCAGAACACTGACAAAATTTCTCATGTATGCTTTTTTAAAATCACTATCCGAAAGTCCATTCCAACATTGTGAGTTTCTTCTGCATACTAAATACTACTCTAGGAAAATGCTGAAAAGTTAAATTGGAGGAGATAAATCACTTTAGAAAATTATTTATTGTTTACATCTAATAACATTATTTATGTTTTACATAATTATGTTAATTTAAATAATATTTATTTTAAAATTTAATTGTACTTTTACTTCTCTTGGAATGAAACTTTCCATATAACAAAAATTTTTTAGATTTTCAGACAATCCATTTTCAAATGTAATTTCAGCTCATAATATATAGAAAATGGGGAGCTTCTTTTCCACAATCCAAATAGATATTATTTAGCATTTTCTGTATTTTCTCCTAGTACAAACATTTCATAAAAACAAACTGATTTACAGGGAGGGGAACAACATATACTGGGCCTGTTGGGGGGCGGAGGGAGGGAGAGCATTAAGATAAATAGCTAATACCTAGGTGATGGGTTGAGAGGTGCAGCAAACCACCATGGCACACATGTACCTATGTAATAAACCTACACATCCTGCACATGTATCCAGGAACTTAAAATAAAATAAAATTAAATTAAAATTGCCTTGCACATACTGATGCTATTGTTCTTTCAACAGTTGACCTTTTCTCTGGCATTGTATCTTTAAGTGTGCAGACACTTAAGCCACAACATTTTAAAACAAGGAGACATTTGACTATTGTTCTTTCTGATGGATATGCTTTTAATCTATGTATAGAAGTTATGCAGTATATGTTTTCATATTATTAGACGACTTTATCCAATTGATATACTGTTACAAAAGAGTTACATGCTTAATGTCATTGTAAAACAAGCTACCTAGTGAGAAGTTCCTGAACAAAATGAATCTTCTTCCTAAAAAAATTCTTTTTCTGCATTCTATTTAACATTTGCTAAGTTGATAGTATTAATTCATGTGTATATATTATATACTTTTTCTATTATGTTATCAATTACACATGCTTTGAAATCTGAGAGGATAAAAAAGCTTTCATACATAATCATCAAATTATCAGGGTCTTCATAAAAGTTTTAAAATACTCATAGAAAAGCAACAAATATAAACATAATATGCTGTCATTTTATTGTTATCTTGACTTTTAGTTCCAGTGTAAACCAAATTTTATCTATGGTTATTAACATTGCAGTGGAGAAGTTCTAGAAAGCATCATTAAAACTTAGTGATTATTTTTCACTACTAGTTGATTTTGAACTGTTAAAATCAAACAGAAACTGTTAACACCACCAGTACATTCGTCCTTTGTAATAACTCACTGGGGGTGAATTTAGGCTAGAAGTTTCTAATGGTAGGACTCTCTTCTTATCCATCATGTATTCCCAGTTTAAGTACTGTGTGAAATAACTGCATGTTGTATTAAACTGAATCACGTCTCAATGTAAATAGTTGCAATAATAAAACCTATTTAAGAATTGGTTTTTTGAATAGACTATTTAAGTCTATTTAAGACTAAATGACTATTATGACTATTACTATTGCCATTGTTATTTAATGTCACCTTTTTTTTTGAGATGGAGTCTCACTCTGTCACTCTGGCTAGAGCGCAGTGGCGTGATCTCAGCTCACTGCAACCTCTGCCTCCTGGGTTCAAGCGATTCTCCTGCCTTAGCCTCCCGAGTAGCTGGGATTACAGGCACCTGCCACTAAGCCCAGCTAATATTTTGAATTTTTTTAGTAGAGACGGGGTTTCACCATGTTGGCCAGGCTGGTCTCAAACTCCTGACCTTGGGATCTGCCCTCTCTTGGCCTCCCAAAGTTCTGGGATTTCAGGTGTGAGCCACCGTGCCCAGCCTTAATGTAACCTATTTTTGAGCCCAATAAAATTATTCACTAAATCAATCATTCAATATTTATTAAGCACTTATTTGTGCCAAGTTCTCTTCCAGGCATTGAGACTCAAGAGTGAACAAAACATGCAGAGATCCCTGCCCTAATCAAACTTACATTCTACTACTAAAGACAGATAATAACTACATGTAGTAAATAGATTACATTAAGATGTATACATCAGCTGGTGGTGAGTGCTTCAGAGAATAGGGATAGGGAAGGAGTGGAGTGGGGTAAGATTTGCAGTTGAAAGTAAGGTATTCAGGAAAGGAGTTCAAGTGAAATTAGTATTTGAGCAAAGACATACATGGGGTGAGAAAGTGGAATCTGGGAGAAATAGCAATTACACAAAAGTATAAAAGGGTCTGCAAGAAATTTAAAAGTCTTTTAATTTATTACAGAATTTGGTATAGAATATTGATAATATAATCTTATTATGTTATTATCCATCTTCTTAGACATCTGCTTAAAACATATGCAAATTATCCACATTTTAAATCCCTTACATATAGGGAGGTTTTAACTCATTAAAGCTGAAGTCTAATTATAACTCTGAAAAAGTTATTTTGGAGGAAGAACTAATTATAGCATGTAGAAGTGTGTCAGGCCAGGTGTCACTAATGCAGGCCTCCACAACAACTGTTTCCGTGCTGACTGAGTGGTGAAGTTAAATATTAAAAGCCAGTGCCCTTATACAAAGGCTGAGATTTAACAAAAGCCCATCAATAGTTTTGCCTAGGCATTTCCTGGGCCTTAAAGCATGACAAAATAATGAAGGAATTCTTAACAGGACCACTGAGGACTAAATAAGTTTTATTGTGGGTCTAAAGAAACTCCCCAGGCCTCCATAAACAAGTTTATTGGGAGTCTGAAGGAACTCCTCAAACCTCCGAGATTTAGCAGGAGACAAGATAAGGATAATCACCCCAGCACCTGGACCCATTCAGATTAAGTAAATTTACTGAGGCTCTATAGGAACTCCTTCAGAACTCAGACGTTAGTTATAGATTTAAAGAAGTTAGGCCGGGTGCGGTGGCTAATGCCTCTAATCCCAGCACTTTGGGAGGCCAAGGTGGGCAGATCACGAGGTCAGGAGATTGAGACCATCCTGGCTAACACAGTGAAACCCAATCTCTACCAAAAATACAAAAAATTAGCTGGGCATGGTGGCACACGCCTGTAGTCCCAGCTACTCAGGAGGCTAAGGCAGGAGAATTGCTTGAACCCAGGAGGTGGAGGTTACAGTGAGCTGAGATCGCACCATTGTACTCCAGCCTGGGCAACAGAGCAAGACTCCATCTCAAAAAAAAAAAAAAAAAAAGACGTTATATCACTTATGTCTTTAGATGAATGCACATTTACACCTAGACATATAGTTTATATACTATATAGCTTAAGGTATATAAGCTCTTGAAAAATTTGTAATTTGGAGTTGGCCTGGTGATAATTTCCAGGCCTTCTCCCTGTAACTGGTTGCAGAAATTAAAACTCTCTCCCTCCCTATTTCATCTGCATCTCACTATTCGGCCCTGAGAAATAGCCCAATCCTCAGTTTGGTCTGGGAACGGAAGTAAATACTAGCTATTTGTAAAATATGTCATAAAAATCTGAGTTTTAGTGAGGTAAGGGAGCATATTGCGTGGCTATCTGAGGAGCATATTCTAAGGAGCAGAAGCAGCAGTACAAAGGTGGGATGGTGTATTAATCCTTTCTCTCACTGTTAATAAATACATAACTGAGACTGGGTCATTTATAAGGGAAAGAGGTTTAATTGACTTACAGTTCAGCATGGCTGGGGAGGCCTCAGGAAACTTACAATCATGGCAAAAGTGAGAGACAGGACTAGCTGGATTTCCTATAAGAATTCCTAAGCCTAGCTGGGGAAGGTGACCACAGCCACCTTTAAACACAGGGCTTGTAACTCAGCTCACACCTGACCAATCAGGTAGTAAAGAGGGCTTACTAAAATACAAATTAGGCTAAGAGCAGGAGGTAAAGAAATAATCAAATCATCTATTGCCTGAGAGCATAAGGGGAGGCACAATGATCAGCATATAAACCCAGGGCATTCAAGCCGGCAGTGGCAACCTCCTTTGGGTCCCCTCCCATTGTATGGGAGCTCTGTTTTCACTCTATTAAATCTTGCAACTGCACACTCTTCTGGTCCGTGTTTGTTCCGGCTCGAGCTGAGCTTTCATTTGCTACCAAGCACTGCTGAATGCTGCTGTCACAGACCCACTGTTGAATCCTACCCCTCCGGATCTGGCAGGGTGTCTGCTGTGCTTCTGATCCAGTGAGGCACCCATTGCTCCTCCCAATCAGGCTAGAGGTTCACCATTGTTCCTGTGCAGCTAAGTGCCCGGGTTCATCATAATTGAGCTGAACACTAGTCACTGGGTTCCACGGTTCTCTTCCATGACCCAAGGCTTCTAATAGAGCTATAACACTCACTGCATGGCCCAAGGTTCCATTCCTTGGAATCCATGAGGCCAAGAACCCCAGGTCAGAGAACAAAAGGCTTGCTGCCATCTTGGGAGCAGCCGCCACCATCTTGAGAGCAGCTCACCACCATCTTGGGAGCTCTAAGAACAAAGACCTGCTGGTAACATCTGGTTGCCTGCACGGGGATTCTCCAAAGCGATGAGTAATAGACCACTTTTGCTTGCTATTCTGTCCTATTCCTTAGAATTGGAGGAAATACTGGGCACCTGTTGGCTGGTTAAAAATGATTAGCGTGGCCACCGGACTTAAGACTCAGGTGTGAGGCTTCCTGGAAAAAGGCTTTCTAATGACCCCCAACCCTTCTGGGTTGGGAGCATTGGTCTGCCTGGAACCAGCTTCCACTTTCACAATTTCCTGGGGGAAGCCAAGGGCCAACTAGAGGCAGAAAGCTGTCGTCCTGAACTCCCGGCATTGGCCGGTCGAGTTCATGGCACAGCCAGAAGTCTCTACTCAATAGTTGCCCATGAATGTGCCCCTACCTCTCCTTCTGACCCATACCTCCTGGGTCCTGACCAAGACTTTCTTGAAAGTGTAGCCCCAAAATTCTCCTTACCTCTGATCCCTGCCTCCTAGGTACTAATGCTTCAGACTTTCATTTCCTATCCCAAGTATTAGAGCAAGTTGTATCTCCAAAGGGATCTAAGGAAGCTCAATGCTGCGTCCTCAGGCATCTAGGCTGTGAATCCAGTGAGTCTGCCCCTGGTATCCCTCCCAATTTAGGTATACAGCTCTTGACATGGGCAGTTATGTGGGACCCGTTCCCCACCACCCTTGCCAGGGCCCCAAGTTTGTAAGTGGCTAGGAGGATTGCTCTCCCATTGTGCAAGATACTCTCCTCTCCCAATTTCTACCCAGCTTACCCTCCCCCTGCAATACAATCTCCAAGCCTTGGCTCCTTGGCCAGGGCCTTAGAGCTGATGACCCAGTACTTTAACAACTGGAATTGGGTCTACAACAACATAACAGATCAGGGTGAAAGCAAAATGAGTAAATTAAAGGGAAAAGAGAGAAGGCAGAGAGAGGGAGAGAGAAGAGAGAGAAAAAGGGAGAGAGAGAAAAGAGAGAGAGAAAGTCAGAGAAAAGAAAGAAAGAGAGAGAAAAAAGGGAAAAAGAGGGAAAGAGAGAAAGATAGAAGTGGTAAAGAAAAAACAGTGTGCCCTATTCCTTTAAAAGCCAGGCTAACTTTAAAACCTATAATTGATAATTGAAGGTCTTCTCCATGACCCTATAACACTCCAATACTACCTTGTTGTCAGTGTAAACAAGGGCATAGCCTGAAAACACTGAGACCACGGACAACCCTTAGCCTTCCTATCAAAAATCCTTAACCCAGTAACCCACGGATGGACCAAATGCATTCAATCTGTAGCAGCAACTGCTTTGCTAACAGAAGAAAGTAGAAAAATAACTTTTAGAGGAAATCTCATTGTGAGCACACCTCACCAGTTCAGAGCTATCCTAAGTCAAAAAAAGCAAAAAGGTAGCTTACTAACTCAAAAATCTTAAAGTATAGGGCTCTTCTGTTAGAAAAAGGTGATTTAACACTAACCACTGATAATTCCCTTAACCCAGCAGATTTCATAACAGGGGATTTAAATCTTAATTATTATGCAAAGGTCCGACCAGACCTAGGAGGAACTCCCTTCAGGACAGGGCAATAGATGGTTCCTCCCGAGTGATTGAGGGAAAAAAACACAATTGGTATTCAGTAATTGAGGGAAACTCTCGTAAAAGCAGAGTTAGGAAAATTGCTTAATAATTGGTCTGCTCAAACGTGCAGACCAATTTTGCACTCAGCCAAGCCTTAAAGTACTTAAAAAACCTGCAAGCCCATCTTTTTCTCCTCGCTCTCCTTCTCACAGGAAAAAGGCACATAGGATAAAAAGATCCATCTCTCATATTTCATACCCAAAAGGACTTAATCCAGGGCAACAAAAAATTTAAGACTGATAATCAGGGTGTATTTCTACAAAGGAAAAGAAGGACAAAGGCCCTAGTGGGCAAAAACTCTATCTCAGTTCTGACTCAAAAGGTTGTCTACACCCTCTCTGAAATGAATTTGCATAAGAACTGTTGTTTATGGGAATGCATCTTGATGGGGCAGCTGGGTTCTTATGAAATATTCAGAAGCCCAGCCCAGCTCTAGAACTCACCCCTAGCGCAAAGGCAATGTTGGGCACGCTGGTAAAGGACCTCTAGAATCCAGCAGCCCAGACCCGTTTCTCTGTGGTCAAGAAAGGTGGGAAAAGGCGTGCAGGACTACTACATCGGTGAGCGTAACTAATCCGATAAGCAGAGGTCCATGGGTGGTTATGCACCCTGGAAAGGAATAAGCATTAGGACCATAGAGGACGCTCTAGGACTAATGCTCATTGGAAAATGACTAGGGTTGCCGGCATCCCTATGTTCTTTTTCCAGATGGGAAACATTTCTCCCAAGGCAAAAATGCCACTAAGATGTATTCTGGAGAATTCAGCCCAGAGTGCATATACCTTTTTCTCTGTCAGACTTGAAGCAAATTAAAATAGACCTAGGTAAATTCTCAGATACCCCTGATGGCTATATTGATGTTTTACAAGGGTTAGGACAACCCTATTATCTGACATGGAGAGACATAATGTTACTGCTAGATCAGACACTAACCCCAAATGAGAGAAGTGCCGCCATAACTGCAGTCCGAGAGTTTGGTGATCTCTGGTATCTCAGTCAGGTCAATGATAGGAAGATAACAGAGGAAAGAGAACAATTCCCCACAGGCCAGCAGGCAGTTCCCAGTGTAGACCCTCATTGGGACACAGAATCAGAACATGGAGATTGGTGCCACAGATATTTGCTAACTGACGTGCTAGAAGGACTAAGGAAAACTAGGAAGAAGCCTAATAAATTAGTCAATGATATCCACTATAACACAGGGAAAGGAAGAAAATCCTACTGCCTTTCTGGAGAGACTAAGAGAGGCATTGAGGAAGCATACCTCACTGTCACCTGACTCTATTGAAGGCCAACTAAGGTTAAAGGATAAGTTTATCACTCAGTCAGCTGCAGACATTAGAAAAAAACTTCAAATTCCACCTTAGGCCTGGAGCAAAACTTAGAAACCCTATTGAACTTGGCAACCTCGGTTTTTTATAATAGAGATCAGGAGGAGCAGGCAGAACGGGACAAACAGGATAAGAAAAAGGCCACCACTTTAGTCATGGCCCTCAGGCAAGTGGACTTTAGAGGCTCTGGAACAGGGAAAGGCTAGGCAAATCAAATGCCTAATAGGGCTTGCTTCCAGTGAGGTCTACAAGGACACTTTAAAAAAGATTGTCCGAATAGAAATAAGCCACCCCCTCATCCATGCCCCTTATGTCAAGGGAATCACTGGAAGGCCCACTGCCCCAGGGGACAAAGGTCCTCTGAGTCAGAAGCCACTAACCAGATAATCCAGCAGCAGGACTGAGGGTGCCTGGGGCAAGCGCCAGCCCATGCCATCACCCTCACAGAGCCCCAGGTATGCTTGACCATTGAGTGCCAGGGGGTTAACTCTCTTCTGGATACTGGTGTGGCCTTGTCAGTCTTACTCTCCTGTCCCAGACAACTGTCTTCCAGATCTGTCTCTATCTGAGGGGTCTTAGGACAGGCAGTCACTAGATACTTCTCCCAGCCACTAAGTTGTGACTAGGGAACTTCACTCTTTTCACATGCCTTTCTAATTATGCCTGAATTCCCCACTCCTTTGTTAGGGAGAGACATCCTAGCTAAAGCAGGGGCCATTATACACCTGAGCATAGGAGAGGGAACACAGGTTATTGTTCCCTACTTGAGGAAGGAATTAGTCCTGAAGTCTGGGCAACAGAAGGACAATATGGACAAGCGAAGAATGCCCATCCCATTCAAGTTAAACTAAAGGATTCCACCTCCTTTCCCTACCAAAGGCAGTACCCACTTAGACATGAGGCCCAGCAAGGAGTCCAAAAGATTGTTAAAGACCTAAAAGCCCAAGGCTTAGTAAAACCATGCAATAGTCCCTGCAATACTCCAATTTTAGGAGTACAGAAACCCAATGGACAGTGGAAGTTAGTGCAAGATCTCAGGATTATCAGTAAGGCCGTTGTACCTCTATACCCAGCTCTACCTAACCCTTATACCCTGCTTTCCCAAATACCAGGGGAAGCAGAGTGGTTTATGGTCCCGGACCTTAAAGATGCCTTTTTCTGCATCCATGTATCTTTAACCTCCTTGTTAAGTTTGTCTCTTCCAGAATCGAAGCTGTAAAACTACAAATCATTCTTCAAATGGAGCCCCAGATGCAGTCCATGACTAAGATGTACTGTGGACCCCTGGACCAGCCTGCTAGCCCATGCTCCAATGTTGATGACATCGAAGGTACCCCTCCTGGGGAAATATCAACTGCATGACCCCTACTACACCCCAATTCAGCAGGAAGCAGTTAGCGCAGTCATTGGCCAACCTCCCCAACAACACTTGGGTTTTCCTGTTGAGAGGGGGTACTGAGAGACAGGACTAGCTGGATTTCCTATAAGAATTCCTAAGCCTAGCTGGGGAAGGTGACCGCACCCACCTTTAAACACAGGGCTTATAACTTAGCTCACACCTGACCAATCAGGTAGTAAAGAGGGCTCACCAATTAGTCTAAGAGCAGGAGGTAAAGAAATAGTGAAATCATCTATTGCCTGAGAGCACAAGGGGAGGGACAATGATCGGGATATAAACCCAGGGCATTCGAGCCGGCAGTGGCAACCCCCTTTGGGTCCCCTCCCATTGTATGAGAGCTCTGTTGTCACTCCGTTACATCTTGCAACTGCACACTCTTCTGATCCATGTTTGTTCCAGCTCAAGCTGAGCTTTTGCTCACCATCAACCACTGCTGAATGCCACTGTTGCAGACCCACTGTTGACTCCACCCCTCCAGATTTGGCAGGGTGTCTGCTGTGCTTCTGATCCAGTGAGGCACCATTGTGACTCCTGATCATACTAGAGGCTTACCATTGTTCCTGTGCAGCTAAGTGCCCGGGTCCATCCTAATTGAGCCAAACATTCCACGGTTCTCTTCCATGACCCACAGCTTCTAATTGAGCTATAACACTCACCGCATGCCCAAGGTTCCATTCCTTGGAATTCATGAGGCCAAGAACCCCAGGTCAGAGAACAAAAGGCTTGCTGCCATCTTGGGTGTGGCCTGCCACCACCTTGGGAGCTCTAGGAGAAAAGATCCACTGGTGACAAAAGCAGAAGCAAACATATCCTTATCCACATGACAGCAGGAAGGAGAAGTGCCTAGCAAAGGGCTAAAGCCCCTTATAAAGCCATCAGATATCATGAGAACTCACTCACTATCACAAGAACAGCATGGTGGTAACCACCCCCAGGATTAAATTACCTCCCACTGGATCTCTCCTACAATACAGGGGGATTATGGGAACTACAATTCAAGATGAGATTTGGGTGGGGACACAGCCAAACCATATCAGATTCTGAGTGTGATTCTGAGGTATGAGTGTACCTGGTGAGCTCCACCAATAGTAGGGAGGCCTCTGAGGCTGGAGTGGAGACAGTAAGAATAGGTAGGTAGGAGGTGAGATGAGAGAGTTGGGGCTGATGGAGCAGGGCCTTGTAAGCCATGTTAATGGTGTTGGTTTTATTTTGAATGAAATGAGGCCATGCAGAGTTTTGAGTGGAGAAACACAGCATAAGAGTCAGTTTGCACAGGACCATGCTGGCTGATGTCCTGAGATTAGCCACAGTGAATAAGTAGATGAATAGAGAGACTAGCTGAAAGTCCATTATGGTAATCTAGGCCAGAGGTGATGGCAGCATAAATGAGGGGTATCAGGGTGGTGGTAGTGGGGGTGCAGAGAAGAGGTTGGACTCAAGATTAAAGTAAAAATTAAGAGGATTTTCTGATGGAATGAGTAGGAGATGGGTGAGAGAAAAAGAGGAGTCAAGGATGGCTCCAAACTGTAGGTAGAGGTAACTGGAAGAACAAAGTCTCCATTAACTGAGATGAAAAGACATTGGGAGAAGCACATCTGTGGAAGAGATGGAACATGGAAGTGGAGTTTCATGTTGGGCACATTGAGTTTCAGCTGCCTAGCAGACATTCAAATGAAGATGATTAATATGAGCCTGGAGCTCAGAGGAAAAGGCCAGGCTAGATATATAAACTTGAAAGTAATGAGCATATACATGGTATTAAAATTCATAGAATTTGAATAGAATCCCCCAAGGAGTGAATAACAAAAAGAAAGATTCAAATTTGAGCCTCAGGGTCCTCATGTTAACAGGCCTTGGGATATGAGAAGGAATCAACAGAGGATAAAAAGGAGCAGCAAATGAAATAGAAAAAAGCTTGGAATTTGCAGAAGTGACATAAAGTGTACTGAAAAGCAGGAATTGATCAACTGTGTTCAATGCTGTTGTTGAGAGGTTGATAAAATAAGGACTGAAAATTGACCATTAGATTCACAAAAGGGGATCAATCACCACTGTCCTTGCCAAGAACACATCTTGTTCAGTGATGGAGTGAAAACTTGAAGGAACAAAGTTTATGAGTGAACAAGTCAGGAAGTAGAGTCCATGAGCACAAATACCTCTTTTGTGATATTTAATCATTAAAGGGAAAAGAGAAATGAGAAGAGAGCCAGAAAGGAAGTGAGTTCCACAGTTTTTTTTTAAACAGCTTTATTGAGATATAATTCTCATTTCATAGCGTTGTTTCATGTATGTATTTATTTATTTTGAGTTAGGAGAAATAAGCTCATGCATTTATACTGTTGAGAATAATCCAAAAGGGGGGAAACCTAGAGATGAATGAATTGCTGGCATAATATTCTTGGATGGAATCCAGTATACAAATGAAAGAGTTGGCCTTTGATCATGGCACAGAGAGTTCATCTGGATAAATAAGAACGTAGGTAAAGTTTGAGTAGAAATCTGGTAGAGTTTCTTTTGATAGCTTTTGTTTTTTCAGTAAAACTGGAAATAATGTTATTAACAGAAAGGGATGATGGGAAAGAGGTGTTGGATGTTGGAGAGGAGAGAAGATATGAAATAGAAGAATATGACAGCAAATGGACTAGAAAATATAATTGCCTAGCTGTCTTAAGGGTCCATTCAGGGTAATGAATTTAAGAGAGACAAGTTAGCATATGGTTCATAGATGAACCAGTTGTGTTCATCTGCACTGTGTAGTTGGAAAGAGGAAAGAGTTTAATTTAAGCATGGTTAGGGTTGTGCCAAGCAAATGTAATGAAATGTTCCCCGATTCTCCTAAGCTAAAAGTAATCTCACCTTCCTTGGAGCTTCCATAGCATTCCCTTTCAATCTTGCTTATTGAAATGTTGTATCTTGCATATATTCTTAGTTGCTCAACAGCCCCTGATAACTTTGTATCATTCTGGCTCCTACAAGTCTAAGCTTACTGTGAAGCATATAGCAGAATAATTATGTCATAATGATAATCTAAAAAATGGGTTTCCTGAGATCAAATCTTCTTCACAATGAAGTCGTGTATGATAAAGAAAAGAACATCATCAATGGCAGTGTTATTGTGAGTCATATGTCTCAATGTATAAGATAGTTCCCTCTGAACTATATTTTTTTCTATGTTGGAGAAAAGTCCTTTATGTACCATCTTAATGAATTTGTGAATCATTGAAAGAAAAAAGGCTGGGTTTTGGAAAAATGACAAAGTCTATGAGTTGTTAGTCTCTTTAACCTCCATTTGTTACCTCTTTCTCTGTTCTTGGAGTGAGTCCTCTTCTCCAGCTCTAAAATGTCTATTGTTTACCATCTCCAAATACCTGACTCATAGAAAAAGCTCTGATACTTACACTGGTGTCAGATTTAATATTGCATGGCCTTCAGTAAATGTGCCACCTTAATCAGGCAAATGCAATTAAAATGTTGTAATCTGTTAAATTCTGTCCCCTTTTGAAATAATTTAAGACTCAACAAATAGACTAAACAGATTTGGCCAGCCAAGGAGTATGTGTAAAAGCATTCAATATGTATTGGTGAGGCCCTCTGAAAAGGTAGGAATTATTTATTTGTTTTAAGTGAGTTGAGTCATGAGTAAATAAAGGGGAAGAAAAAGGCTGTTGGTCCATACCTTTTCCCCCTTTCCTGGATTCTTCTGCTTTTCTGGGGAGATAAACTAAGGACTGCTTTCATTTTAGCTGCTAAAGTCTTTTCTTGGTAGCAACTGGGAGCAGATGAGGAGCAAATGGCATCAACGAAGCTGTGGAGGTGGCCTTTCCATTTTCCAGGTCCACCTGACTGGCGCAAGAGATTCCTCCCTTGTTAATCCTCTCTACCCTGCTCATCACAGACCAGACCAGAACTCCTCCCAGATTCTAACTTGAACTTCTCTCTTTACCCAGGATATCTAGATATATATATTGATGAATGACATTTTCTATTTAAATTTGTTTTTGTCCTAAAACATTCTTTTTATGTTGTTTTCATTTTAATATATTTTCTACTTATTTACATATCTTATTGTAAAGTAAAAACCTATATCATTAGAGTCTTACATATCCTTTTGAATAATAAAGCTATTACTGTACAGTTATACATCTTAGTGCATCTATACCTATACTTATAACCTGTGTTTCTTTAAGAAAATGCCTAATAACGTATTGATAAGTAAAGAGTTCTTTGTTTCAAAGTAGGTTAATGTTTAAAATATATTTTGTTGTTAAGGGAAAGACAATTACAATATTTAATCACAATATTTGAGTTTCTTGAGGTATTAAGACTTCTGCAGTGATTAATAGGGGATAGATAAATGTGTGTATCCTCAGCATATTTAGTTTTTAATCCTGGGGCTTTTAGTTCCTGGTTTTGCTGTTTGCACAGGGTGGCAAGAAGACATGTTCTGGGTTTGGTATGAGCTGGATTTGGTCCAAGATAGAAGATGTCATAGGAGTAAGGCACTAAACAGACTGAAAGTGGATTTCATCTTTGGCAGCCTATGACATTTACCTTTGCTCTCTTGTCACCAAGTTTACCACACCTAGCCCATGATGGCAGACAGTGGGATGAGTGGGTATAAAAACCAAAGTTACAAGGGCCCTTGTAGACTTGTCTCTCCAGAATGACTATCCTCCATTTCTAGGTCCCAAATCACAACCATGAAGTTGATCTTATGGTACTTGGTTGTGGCACTTTGGTGCTTCTTCAAAGGTAAGAAACTAATTTAAAGAATTCTTTCAAATGTGATGGACCCCAAGTATATATTTGTCTGAATGTTTAGTGTTCTGTAGATCCAACATTTTTCTTCCTAGCAATCTTTCTTACACTACACTTTAAAGTAGGATAAGAAAACTGGATTTTTCATCTTACTGTGTATTACCTCAGCTTTAACAATCGTGTCTTAAGAGTGTGGATACAAGCATACCTTGGAGATATCTCGGGTTTGCTTCTAGCTTACCACAATAAAGTGAATATTGCAATAAAGCACACACAGTTTTTTGCTTCCCAACACTTATAAAAGTTATGTTTACCCTATACTGTAGACTAAGTATACAATAGCATTATGTATAAAAACAATATATATACCTGAATTAAAAATACTTTATTGCTAAAAAATGCTATGATCATATGAGTTTTCAGTGAGTTGTAATCTTTTTGCTGGTTTGATGTTGACTGCTGCTGAGTACCCAATGTGGTGGCTGCTGAAGGTGGTGGGGGTGCTGTGGCAATTTCTCAAAATAAGAAAGCTATGGCATTTGCCACATTGATAGACTCTTCATTTCATGAACGATTTCTTTGTAGCATGCAATGCTGCTTGATAGCATTTTACCCACAGTAGAACTTCTTTCAAAGTTGGAGTCAGTTTTCTTAAATCCTGCTACCGCTTTAGCATCTATCTTTGTCTACTCTTCTAAATCCTTTGTTGTCATTTCAACAATGTTCACAGCATCTTCACCAGAAGTAGATTTCAATTGAAGAAATCACTTTCTTTGCTCATTCATAAGGGGCAACTCGTCATCTGTTCAAGTTTTCTCATGAGATTGCAGCAATTCGGTCACATCTTCAGGCTCCACTTCTAATTCTAGTTCTCTTGCTCTCTCTACCACATCGACAGTTACTTCTTCTACTGAAGTCTTGAACTTCTACAAGTCAGCTTCTTCCAAATTATTTTAATGTTGATATTTTGGCTTCCTCTCATGAATCATGAATGTGCATCTAGAAAGGTGAATCCTTTCCAGAGGATTTTCAGTTTACTTTGACTATATTCATCAGGGGCATCATTATTTACGGCAACTATAACCTTATGAAATGTATTTATTTCTTCAATAAGAAGACATGAAAGTCAAAATTACTCCTTTACCTGTTGGCTGCAGAATGGATGTTGTGTTAGCTGCCTGAAAACAACATTAATCTCCAGGTACATCTCCATCAGAGCTCTTGAACTCTTGTCAATGAGCAGTAATATTTTGAAAGGAGTCTTTTATACTGAGCAGTAGCTCTCAGCAACGGGCTTAAAATATTCAGTAAGCCCTGTTGTACACAGATGTGCTGTCATGCAGGCTGAGTTATTCAATATTTAGAGCATGGGCAGAGTAGATTTAGCATAATTCTTAAGGGACCTAGGACTTTCAGAATGGTCAATTACCAGTGGTTTTAACCTCAAGTCAGAAGCTGCATTAGACCCTAAAAAGAGAATCAGCCTGTCCTTTGAAGCTTGGAAACCAGGCATTGACTTCTCCTCTCTAGCTATTAAAGTCCTAGATGTCATCTTCTTCCAATCAAAAGCTGTTTTGTTTACAATGAAAATCTATTGTTCAATGCAGCCATCTTCATGAATTATCTTAGCTAGATCTTCTGTTCTGAACTTGCTGCAGCTTCTCCATCAGCCCTTGCTACTTCATTTTGCACTTTCATAGTATGGAGACAACTTGTTTCCTTAAATTTAATGAGCTAACCTCCGCCAACTTAAAACTTCTCTTCTGTAGCTCCCTTACCTCTCTCAGCCTTCAGACAACTGAAGAGAGTTAAAGCCTTTTTCTGGATTACAGTTTGGCTTAAGGGAATATTGTGGCTGGCTTGATCTTTCCAGGCCATTCAAACTTTCTCCATATCAGAAATAAGGCTGTTTGGCTTTCTTATCATTCATGTGTTCGCTGGAGTAGCACTTTTAATTTCCTTCAAGAACTTTTCTTTTGCATTCACAAATTGGCTATGTGTTCAGCACAAAAGACTGAGCTTTCAGCCTATCTTGGCTTTCCACATGCCTTCCTCACTAAGCTTAATCATTTCGAACTTTTTGATATTAAATGCAAGATCTGTCACTCTTCACTTGAACACTTAGAGGCCATTGTAGGGTTATTAATTAGCCTAATTTCAATATTATTGTGTCTCAGGGAAAAGGGAGGCCCAAAGAGAGGGAGAGAGATGGGGGCAATGACCTGTTGGTAGAAAGGTCAGAACATAAGCATATATTAAGCTTGCCATCTTATTGAGTGTGGGTGATGCCTCAAAACAATTACAAGAGTGATATCAAAAATCACTGATCACAGATCACCATAACAGGTATAATAATAATAATAAATTTGAAATATTGTGAGAATTATGAAAATGTGATACAAAGACCTGAAGTGAGCTCATGCTATTGGAGAAATGGTTTCAATAGAGTTGGTAGTCACAGGGTTGCCACAAATCTTCAATCTGTAAAACACACAATATATGTAAACCTCGGTAAAGTAAAGCACAATAAAATGAAGAGTGCTTTTAAATATATGTATACACATTTAGATATATTTGTTTTTAGCAACTGCCTAGAACTATTACTAAGCAGGTCACACAAGATACATACAGTGTTGTTTGTTACTCATTTTCATCACAGTTTATGCTTTGATGGTTCTATCTTGAATGCATATCCATATTAAGACTAAAGACGCAAACAGGTAATCATGTTTTTCACAAATCAAGAAATTATCACCAGTTAAAAAACTGGGTCATCATCAAAAACAACACTTTAACATCTTTCCTGGATATTTTAGAAAGTTCATTAATTAATTTCAGAAATTAATTTAAAGGTAAGATGTCATTTATTTTGAGAAAATTAAACACTAAGCAAAATGAAAAAATGTCTAGAAACAAACATTGTTCTGTTCCTGAAAATGGCAGAAAAGATAACATTATCCAAATGTAAGGGAAAAAGTCTGCAAAAAGCAGGTTTTTTCCATATCTAAACTTAAAAGTCTATTCTCTAAATTTGAAAGTAGAACACAAAACATATATCTTATTTTTCTCTGAGATGTCAGAATATAGAGAACTGCAATTATTTGTTATAATTAAGAGAAAATATTTCTGTTTAATCCAACTATCTGGGAAATTGTCTGATGAACCATTAGAAAATGATTACTTTGTGTAATAGTGATTTTCATAATCTTACATAGTGCTTTGCTATATTCTTTTTTCCTGTTGCATAAATGTGTTTCTTGTTTCCTAAGTAATGGAGCAAAGAGTACATTATTTTCAAAGTATTTATTAAATGTCATATCACCATAAAAATAATTTTAAAATTACTTGTTAAAGTATATTAAATTTACTGAAGAATTGGCTCATGTTTCTAAGGTAAATTCCTATATATCCATCCATTGTAGATCTGGAAAATGATTGTGACTATTTCAATAGGCTTTCCATGGATAGGCGACTTATCAACAAAATTCAGATTTTATGTATTTATTCATGATGTCATCGTGGGAACTAAGAAACATACTTGGAAAACTGCTCTTTGCAGAAATCCTAGGTGCCTTATTTGAAATAAATTTTTGTTGCTATTAGTCAGTGTGATTTACGTTTCAAATACAGACACTCATCATTTTCAGTAGGTTATAGGATGATAAATCTTGGGGACTGGAAGTTGCTGAAAGCAAATATTTAGGCAGTATCCATATAATCAATTGGAAGAAACATTTGCATTGTTTAATCAAGCATAACTATACAGAAAGAAAAAAATTGAAAAACAATTTTTCTGGTTAAGTAGAAAAAAACAGTTATAAGAGACATAGTTCAGGCATAAATATGCATAATCTACTTTTATTTTTTTCTCAGGCTATCCTATATTACCATTAAAGTCCATATTATTGATTCTGTTCTTTTATTCTTGTTTCTTTTTTGTCTAATTCACTGCTTATGAACACATTACCCAGAAAATGTTTAGGGGAAATAAAAGCATGTAAAATTTAGATCAGAAAATATACTTTAGATCAACAGCTGTAGTCATGTGAAGAAGATATAAAATATTGGCTAATATTAATTTGTGAGCTTAATTTATTTCGTCATACATATTTTCAAGTCTTAGTTGGCACTGAAAATTTGATATCAAGTATGCTGGTAGGTAAATGTGTTACATAGATCATTTCCTATTAAATAGAAAAGCTGTGAAATAATAAATTACTATTGAAGTATTACACTTATCAGATAAAAACAGTGGATTGCTTATATTGAATTTTAGGGAAGAACGAAAACAAAAAGAACATCTTTTTCATTGTCTTAAAATATGTTATAGAGAATTATAAAATAACCTGTTTTTTTTCTCACTTTTAAAATAGATGTGGAAGCCTTACTTTACCGACAAAAATCAGGTCAGTATCTTTCAGGAATTAATCTTTACTTTGAAACATTATGCTGCATTGTGAGGCTGCTTTTGGAATCATAAAATTAGTGTGTTTCTTACACACTTGGTTTTGTGAATGAGCTCCCATGATGCCTCATTTACCCCATGTGATCTGAACTCCTTAATGACAGGATTTTGGTCTATGCTGTTCACCCTATATTCATAATGCCAAGAGCAGTGGCTGCAATGGAGTAGGTCCTCAGTACATCTTTGTTTTAAATGAATAAAATAAATTGGGATGATCAATATAAGATTTATTTTGCCTACAAGAATTTTCTACATGAAAGTAACCAAATGCTTTGCAAGGTAAACTTTCTGAAATAAACCAAGGATACCCTAACTTCTTACCAAAGAAGACATGGGACTTCTGAAAATAGCTTAATCTTTTTTTAAGGACATGAAAATGCATGTCCATTATCATATTATATCTATACAATGATGCCCTTGGAATGTACTGACTTGAGTAAGACAGTTTGTCCCTATTCCAGAGATTGTTTCTGAGTTTCTTTGTCTGCTTTTGATTTGCCTTTCTGTCCTCTGTCTTCCATTCAACAGCTAGCTCTATATTCTCATGGGATCATCATGTCTACTTTTAGCAGTCAGTTCCAATTCTTACCTATTGTTTTCAGTCCACTGGGCTGAGAACACCATCGATCCAAGCTCATTAGCCTTGTACTGTGGTAAGGATGTGCACTCTGAGTGAGGTCTCAAGAGATTTCTCCTGATGGGTACAGTGAATAAGCAAGAATTCATACATGGGCTCAGTGATATCTCTATTTGCTGCAAGAGGATTTGGGGACAACTTCTTGACTGCAATCTACATTTCAGATAGTCAGAATTTTCCAGGTGTTTAACTTACATAAAGAATATTACTGTGCAGTTTTCTTTTGAAGCATTTATATTAAGTGTCTCCAATCCACATCTGTAAACCATTTCTTCTTAGCCTTTGGCTAAATCCGTGTGTGTGCATTTGTTTGTGAAGCTACGTAAGATTTGGTTTTGACAACAATTTATGAGAACATATGGGAAATGCTTTATCTTTTAAATGTGCTATTTACTGTTTGTCTTAATTTACTCCTTCCTCTCTGGGATAGGTTTACTGACCGTAAGTCTTGGATTTTCCTGAATTGGGTTTTAGTTCAAATTTCTAAAAGTTTATCTTAGTATCAGACCATGTGCCTTGACTATTTATTTGAATAATGCGTTCAGTTTGGGTTTAGAAAATTTAAAGGTTACAGAGCATAGATAAGCATTAAAAACAAAGCACAATCCTGTAAGTCTCCAAATAAAAATGTTACTGAAAACATCTTTGAGGTTTCTTTAATATGTAATCAACATGCAACTTTATGCAAAATTCTATTGCCATTGTTAAGTACTTTATTTCACAGAATTATTGAGAAAATTCTTTTGGAAACCAATGACTTGATGTATTTAATAAAAATATTTTTGTATTTGTAAATCTCAATAAGTGTGTGTGTATGTAAATTATACTTTTTGTTGTAAAGTACCCATTCTTATTGTGAGTTTTTGACTCAGCTGTACTTACAATAGCTTGACAAGGTTGCACATTTACATGCCATTTATTTAAGTATGGAGAAAATTTACCTTGATTTACAATAATGACATTTAAATAATTTGTAAGTTGTGTATACATACATTTTAGTATTCAGCTGGAAACTAGAAATTGTAGATATTTGACTCAGATTAAGTAATTGTACTCTATTCAGTACCTTTGTCACGTGAAAATATCTTTTAACTAAAGCTTCTGCGTTTTACCAAAAGAATAATAGTCTTTTGAAGCACCTTTTCAGGCATCTAAATATTATTGAGTGCTGCATTCTAATTTATGCATTTAGACTGGGCGTGAGAGTGACTGGAAAATTAGCCCAGACTTTCCCCTTTCTGGAGAAGCAGAAGTGTACCATGGGCAATGGCTAATTACCATATTTATGCCTGAGTATTAAATTCAATGAGTATATCTCTTTGGGAGCACCTCCCAAAGACAAGAAATGGCTGTAATCAAGATTCACTTTCTAATGGCAAATCTGTCATTTAGAGACACTACTAATGACAGCAATTCTCCCTTTCTTTCTTCAGATGGTAAAATAGCAGCAAGCAGATCAGGTAAATTACTTTGTTCTCTTTTCTTATACTGTTTATACTCAAAAGCAATAGGGTGGTAGTGCTTTGCTTTGGACATAGGGCATATCTCCCCTGGAAAAATCCTTCAAATGCTTAAAATATAATCTCTCTTATTATTACAGACATGCTTTAATGTGTTTTTGTATAATCTGGGCCAGACATTTTAATCTTTGATCAATACTTACACAGGTGGTGAAATTTAAAATGGAAAATTATTCTGGTTATTTGTTTAACCTAAAATATCTTAAACCTGTGATAGAAATGTGTATGTAAATTTAAGGCTTTACTTTCCTATATTTTCATTGGCAGGACATGCTGTTGTTTTTCTCTTCCAAGATTAATTCCTTAGTGATCTGCTTCAAAATCAATCTAGTTTCAACAGTCTTACTAGATCCCATCAGGTGACTGAATATCACCATTATCCTTTACTGTTTGTTTCTCTACCCACTGAAATGAAAAAATGAACCATAGCAAATCAACAAGACTGCTTTTATGAAGTTTTTCTGAAATCCAACGTTAATATTATTGCTAATATCAACTTAGACTCAATTTTATTCTGGTCTATTGTACACAGCAATCAAAATAGCCCAATATACGTTCCTGTGCTTTTCTTATAGGGCATTTTACATCCCTACCTCATTCTACAACATAAATAAAATGTAATTTTAAACAGCCTTCTTTGAGGGAAAACATAAACTGAGATTAGGCAGCAGCTCAGTTGTGTCAGGAAGACAGCAAGATTATTTTTCACAGCCATGGACAGGACTCATTAAGTTCCATCACAGTGATATAGTAAGAGTTTCTCTACAAAATCTGGTTGTTACTTTTGTAAATGGGGGCATACGAGTTTTCAGCATTCCTTTAGAAGCCCCCATTCACAAATGAGAAGGAAGTAAGGGTACGCTTGGGGTTCTATAGTTCTCTGAAAGTTCTTTAAAATTCTGAGGAATTGAATTTGTTCCTATGTGTCTCAGGGAACCTTCCAGGTCTGGGTATTATTTAGGAGGGACATGAGGTTCTCCAAAGCTAGAGCTGCCTTAAGTGAATAAAAATGGCAAGCAAGAAAGCCCCCATCAACCACTCAACCAGTCAACATAAAACTGGACAAACTGGCCAGGCATGGTGGCTCATGCTTGTAATCCCAGCACTTTGGGAGGCTGAGGCAGGCAGATCACGAGGTCAAGAGATCAAGACCATCCTGGCCAACATGGTGAAAGCCCATCTCTTCCAAAGAAGAGAAAAATTAGCCGGGAGTGGTGGCGGGGGCCTGTAGTCTCAGTTACTTGGGAGGGTGAGGCAGGAGAATCGCTTGAACCCGGGAGGCAGAGGTTGCAGTGAGCCGAGATTGCGCCACTACACTCCAGCCTGGCAACAGAGCAAGACTCCATCTCAAAAAACAAACAAACAAACAAACAAACAAAACTGGACAAACTTCAGGGCATTGTTATCCCTCAAACTCTTCATTCTTCAATGAGATCAAGATTCCTACATTTGAGATAAGGATTGTAGGCCAATACAGGACTTCGTGTTTTTTGATATCCACTGATTTTTACTGATGTCAGAAACATAATTCATTTGTTCCCGTTACTTTAAAAATCTTCCCACCCGCACAGTTGAATCATGTTCACCTCTCTTATCCAGCCATTTCTCTCCATGAGGTAGGGATGAAGAAGCAGAATTATGTCTATTTTTCTTTTCTACTCCATTCTGTGGTTTAAAATTAAAGTGTAAGCTAAACCTTCCGAAATTTTGTGCAAAATGTATGCAAAATCTAGTATGACTTTATTATGAAAAATATAAACATTCTATTTATCCTTAAGCTATAAAGTAGATAAACATTTTATTTATCTTTGTGCATTGTATAAGCAACCTGTCTTTAAGCAAGATGAAGGCAGTGTACATCGCACTTAAGAGCAAAGGATTTCTTGGCAGATTTTTCTAACCGTGTGATCTTAGACAAATTAGTCAGTCTCTTCTCAATATCTATTTTCTCATCTACAAATGAAGTAGTTTAATGGCACCTATCCCATAGAATTGAGGCTATTAAAGCAGTAAGGCATACAAAGTACTGTCATACAGATGTTGTACATTTGAAAAACATACTGACCATTACTCCTAATAACTTCAGCAGCAAATATTTCTGAGCAAGTTTTATATAATAAAAACAAAAGGGATAAAGTAAAGTTAATAAAGTTAGTGAAGACGAATGTGACACACTGAATATCTAGGATGCCAGGTCTACTCATGTCAACATTAAAATGAAGAAATACTGCTCTAATAAAATGAAGACTCTAATATATCTCTGGGGTTGAACTTGGGAGAGGTATGATGAGTATGGTGAACAAACACATCATGAATTAAATAAGTGATATAAAATGCATCTAAATGAGTTTGACGCAGTAAGTTTGCTGAGACAAGTCATATGTATTAAAGGGCAGGGTTTATCTCAGTTGAATGCTGTGTTTAAGACACTGGACTAGGTGCACTCATCTCACTTAATACAGTCATTTAATTAATACTTCTATTATGAAGCAGACATGATCTTATCCTTTTTTATGATGTACTCCCCATTTAATAGATAAGAAAACTTTGTTTTAGAAATGTTAAATTGTTTATCCAAGGACAGGCCAAGAACACAGAACACAGCCAGGGGCAAAAGTACAAATGCAAGTGTGTAAATAATAAAAAAGTTACAAATAAAAGGAACAAAGTAGCAAATAAAATGGTTTCTTTCTCCTACTTTGACAAAAATACATTCATGGCAAGCTGGAATGACATTTCCTATGCAGAATTTTTAGATTCATTGGAAATCAATGCAAGAACAGTGTTGCCTGTGCCCTATCCAAGAAGTAGCCCTGCTCCATCTATCTCTGGCTTAGTCACACCGGGAGGGACAGCCCAGCTTTCCTATCTCAGTCCACCCCTTTCTGCAAACTGACCACCCTCTGTTCATTCCTCACACCTAGGGCTTCAGTCTTTGCAATGTGGTCTCACCTGGGGCAGAAGATCTCAGGAAAGATGCCCGTGCACGTCCAAGTAGCAGGCTTGGAGCTGCAGCCTGGGGGACTTAGAATATTGTCCAGAAATGGGGAAGGGCATGCACAGGCTCTGAGTAGACAAAAGCTCTTCACCCTCACCCTGTATTCTGTGTTCTCTGAGGAAGGCCATGACCCAGGAAGGCCAGCATGAAACCAACATAGATCAGAGCAGTAACCTCTCTTGCCTAGGTCTAAGAGAGGTAGTGGCCAAGACCACACTGATTGCAAGAAGGGGAGCCCAGATGGGTTTGCTGAAAAGTGCATACTTTTCACACAGCTAAATACTTCTTTTCTTCCTTCTGCTTTGTCATCAAACTAAGATATTTATATATTAAAGTGCAGTTCTGAAACTACATGGCATCGAAGAAAGACAATGAGAGAGAGGGTAAAAGAGGAAAGGAAGAACAGTATGTGGAAAACACGGGTGGATAGAGGGAAAGAGGAGACAACGAGAGGAAACACTGCATGTGGAGAAAGGTAGTATAGTCATTGGAAGGTTACCTAATATAGGTAATAATATAAATCGACTATACATGATTTAAGCACTTGTATTCCTACAATAAAAAGTTTTATTATAGAATAGACTTTAAAGCAGAATGTGATGCACATACAGGTTAAGATTGCCAAAACAGAAAGACATAGCCAAGCAGATGTAATCTATCACATACATGTTCTCAAGATTAACAACTAGTTCTCAAGTGAACTTCATAGCACCATTAGCCATATAGTTCAATCTAAATTTACAGGGTAGTTGGGGTGGCCACCTGTGTCTGCTGATTGTCTTTAAAAGAAAAAAAATAAATTTCTTGTATATTATGACTGGAGGTAGGTTTGCAATTTGTAACCAGGCACCAGCTGAAGTTAGGCTCCTACCTCCCAGGAACCTAGGAGATGGGGAAGTTATCTTCCTCTGTGATGACATGTCAAAGTGATGGTGCCAGGCCCTTGGGGAAACATTCTTGGGGTGCTTGTCTAGTCTTTAAAAATATTTTTATTGCATTTCAGAGAGGTAGAGAAATAAATCACAAGTTTTCTTTTTCTTTTCTTTTCTTTTTATTTTTCTTTTTTTTGAGATGGAGTCTTGTTCTGTCACCAGGTTGGAGTGCAGTGGTGCAATCTTGGCTCACTGCAACCTCCGTCTCCTGGGTTCAAATGATTCTCTTGCCTCAGCCTCCCGAGTAGCTGGGATTACAGGCATGTGCCACCACACCCAGCTAATTTTTGTATTTTTAGTAGAGACAGGGTTTCACCATGTTGGCCAGGCTGGTCATGAACTCCTGACCTCGTGATCTGCCCCCCTCAGCATCCCAAAGTGCTGGGATTACAGGCATGAGCCACCATGCCCGGGTGAAATCGCAAGTTTTCTAAAGTAAATAATCTAAGCAAAAGTGTGTAGGGAGAGAAGTCTCTTCTCCTATTTTGAGTATGGAGAATTAAACTACTTATTTTTACTTGCATTTGCTCTTACGTATTCTTCAAGTTTTACTCACAAATAATGTGCTTCATTCTCTTGTCTATTCACTGTTCAAAATGTATGTCTTCCACAACTTTACAGGAATGTCATCATTATTATGACATTATTAATTCTAAAGTATTTCAATTTTATCGTAAAGATTTAAAAAAATGCCTTGATGGAAAGCACATATGCATCATGTAAGACAGTATTTCTTCTCTTAAAAGTGATCTTGTTGGTGAATGTATTTACTAAATAAATATGAATTGAGTATCCTGTATAGTTCAGGCACTCCTCTTGTCACCTGGGATACTTCAGTGAATTAAACAGGCAAAGAAACATTGGGTTTATGCAGCTTAAAACCTAGAAGGATACAGTCAATAAACAAAAAACATTATAAGCAGTAAACATGTTATATTACAAGGTGATAAAATCTGTGGGATAAAATAGAGTAATATTAAATATAATGGTATTTGGGAGTATAAAGGTGGGGATGAAGTTGCAGTTTTAACTTGTCAGAGTGTGCCTCACTGAGATGAAATTTAAACTGAGACTTGAAGGAGGCTAACTCTACAATTAATTTATGAGTAAATGGTTACATCTTTGCAGGAATACAGAAAAGAGAGTCAGATATGTTATCTTAATTTTGTCAGTTATAAGGAACAGTAGCCAAGGACAGTGTGGATTCAACATAGCAGAATATTTTGCTGGGTGTCTACGTTCATTTGCCTTGCTATCCATAAGGAAATATCTGAGGCTGGGTAATTTATGAAGAAAGGGGGTTATTCACCTCCTGTATTTGAAGGCTGTATAAGAAGCATGGCACCAGCCTTTACTTCTGGTGAGGGTCTCTGGGTGCTTCCGCTCACGGCAACGGCCAAGGGCAGCTAGCCTTTGCCGAGATCACACCGTGAGAGAGGAAAAAAAAGAGAGGGACGAGGAGGAATGACAGCTCTGTGGGAAGTAACAGAGCGATAGCTCACTCATTACCAGGAGGACAACCCAAGCTATTCCTGAGGGGTTTGCCCACATGACCCAAAGAATTCCCAACAGGCCCTACCTCCATCACAGGGATCAAATTTCAACATGGGTTGTGGGGAGACAAACTCCTAAACAATAGCAGTGGGAAGAGGTGGGATGCTGGAACTTGGGACTTATGAATGGGGAAGAAAGCAGATTGGGGAGTTTCTGCTCTGTCCAGGAGAAGAGTCTCTCTAGCACACATCGATGATTGAATTTCCACAGCTTGATTCTCCTCTCTTTCTTAAGGTCTTAGAACCATGACAAAAAGACATGGATAGGTGGTATATGCTGTTCAAGTGCTGCCAGAATAATAAGACTTGTATAAAATAAAAAAGTGGCTTTTGATAGTGTCATAATCAGACCACTTTTATAGTCTATGCTAACAATGCTGTTTTCAAATAAAATCTTCTGTTATTTGCTGTAGGTGGCTTCTCTTATGGTAGTTCATCCTCTGGTGACTTGGACAGAAAAAAGCCACTCTTTAGCTTGGAATTTGGTTCTCCAGGAGAGACTGAAGACAAGTCCAGACAACGTCAGGATGCTGGGAGTCCAAAGTCAGAAGACACCCCAGCAGGTACTGTTACAGAAAATACACTTACATAGCAAGCATGGTTTTTTTTTGGATAATATGATAACCTTTGTTTTATTGAAGATGTGGCCTTAATAGAAATGTGAAGACCCTATAGGCACTAATGCTAGTTCCAAAGAGAATGCTAAATTCTGTCTTTAGAGAATTCTGGCAAAGAGGTTTACAATAATTATTGCCCTGGTAATATTTATTTTGTATGCTATCTTTATATGTAGTATCTTTATTGTTATTATAATATATTTCATTGTATAAATTAATAATTTAAAGTTCTTCCTGGACCCAAATATAGTGTAAGATCTCTCTATTCACATTTCTGTAATCTAACCACCATTCATTTCCTACATTAGGATTCTCTCTTTAAATTACACCCTTAATTTGCTAAACAATATTATAAAGCAGAGTTTCTAAAAAGTTTATGGCCTGCAATTTTTTGGGGAGGAAAAATTTTAAATGTCTTTAGGTGAGGTATTTCATCTTTTGCTGTATAAAATTTTAAATATCTTTAGGTGAGGTGTTTCATCTCTTTTTGTATTAGTTTTATTCTCATGCTGCTATGAAGAGATACCTGAGACTGGGTAATTTATAAAGAAAAGAGGTTTAATTGACTCACAGTTCCACATGGCTGAGGAGGCCTCAGAAAATTTACAAGCATGGCAGAAGGGGAAATAAACACATGCTTCTTCAAATGGTAGCAGGAGAGAGAAGAATGAGAGAAGAATGAGTGAAGGGAGAAGCCTCTTATAAAACCATCAGATCTTGAGAACTTACTTATTATCACAAGAATAGCATGGGGGAAACTGCACCCATGATTCAATTACCTCCCACTAGGTCCCTCCCACCACATGTGGGGATTATGGGAACTACAATTCTAGATAAGGTTTGGGTGGCCACAGAGCCAAACCATATCACTTGTTTAACACATTTCTTCCCCCTGCCAATTCAAATTTTTTCTGTATTTTCCTGGTCTCTGAAATCTGTATGGTTTGCACCTCTACAAAAAAGAGAAAGAAGGAAGTCCAGTGAAATCAATAATTTCAATATCTCATATGAAAATTTAATATTGGAGTTCATGTAATGAAAAGGCAGTAACCGTTTTGGGTGTAGGAGGTGTGGTTATAATATCTTTAGGCAGGACATAAAATTTTATATCTTTCCATGAGGTTGATATTATTTTATCCACATTCATTATGTAGTCTTCATTTAATAGTAAAATAAATTTTGTTTAAGGGAACTTTGTTTTAGAAGTGTTAATTTGTTTAACCAAGGACAGGCCAAGAGCACAGTCAGGGTCAAGAGTATAAATGCAGATATATAGACAATTAAAGGTTACAAATAAAATAACAAAATGGTACATAAAATATGTTTTTTTTTTCCTTCCTTGACAACAATATATTTGTGACAATCCGGAAGGCAGGTTCCAATGTAGAATTTTCATGTTTACTGGAATTCAATGTGAGAATAAGGTTGGCTGTGCCCTAGGCAAGTTCTCTATAGCCTCGCTCTTTCTATTTTCTGCTTAGTCCCATACTGGGAGGGATGCCCCAGCTTTGCTATCTTAGTCCATCTTCTTCCACACACTCACCATCCCCTGTCCATCCTTCAGATCTAGGGTTTCAATCAGTGTAATGTGGTCTCACCTGGAGGAGAAAGTCTTGGGAAAGATGCCCATGCAGGCCCAGATCCCGGGTTTGGCTATAGCCCTGGGGACTTAGAACATGGTCCAGAAATGGGGTAGGGGATCACACAGGCTCTAGGTAGGCATGCCTTCTTCACCCTCAGCCTGCAGCCTCTGCTCTCTGGAGAGCATCATGACCCAAGGAAGGCCAGAGTGAGACTTGCGTAGATCAGATTAGGAACTTCCAAAATGTATGGATTAGATGATTAAGTCCCAGTGGTATATGTTGTTTCAAGTGCTGCTAGGATAATGGGATTTATACAAAATAAAATGTGGCTTTTCATAATGTCATAATCAGATGACATTTATATTCTGTGCTAATAATGCTGTTTTCAAATAACATCTTCTGTCATTTGCTGTAGGTGGCTTTTTTAACAGTAGTTCATCCTCCGGTGACTCAGACAGGACAAAGCCATTCTTTAGCTTAGGACTTGGTGCTCCAGGAAAGGCTGAAGACAAGTCCGGAGACAGTCAGGATGCTGGAGGTTCAAAGTCAGAAGACACCCCACCAGGTACCGTTCCAGAAAAACATATGTACCTAGCAAGCAAGTGCTTTTTGTTTTCATTTTGGATAATCTGATAACCTACGTTTTATTGAAGACAAAGCCTGCATAGAAATAGTGGAAACCCTAAAGATGCTATTTCCAGGGCCAGTGAGAGTGATAAATTCTGTCTTTAGAGAATTGTGGCAAAAAAGTTTACATTAAATTAATTATTGTCCTGATAATATTTATTTTTAATGTTATCTTTATATTTAGTATCTTTATTGTTATGACATATTTCAGTGTGTAAATTAATAATTTAAAATGCTTCCTGGACCCAAATGTACTACAGAATCTCTCCATTCACATTTTTATAATCTAACCACCATTCATTTTCTACACTAGGATTCTCTCTTACACACTCAGTTTACTAAATAGTAGCATAAAGCTGAGTTTCTAAACAGTGTGTAGACTCCATTTTTTTTTTTTTAGGAAAAATTTTAAATGTCTTTAGGTGAGACATTTAATCTCGTTTGACATATCTTTCCCTGCTGGCCTATTTAAACTTTCAATGTACTTGCCTAGTCTCTGAAATCTTTAGAGTTTATACCTCTACATGGGAAAGAAAGAGGTTCAGTGAAATAAATAACTCCAATATTTTATATGAAAATTTAATATCTGAGTCCATGTAATAAAAAGGCAGAAATAGCTTTGGGTATAGAGATGTGGTTGTAATATCTTTAGGCAGAACATAAAATTTTATCTCTTTTCATGAGTTTGGTAATATTTTATCCTCATACATTACGTAGTGCCCATTTAATAGTGAAATAAACTTTGTTTAAGGAAACTTTGTTTTAAAAATGTTAATTTGGTTAGCTGAGGACAGGCCAAGGGCCCAGTCATGGTCAAGAGTATAAATGCAGGTATATACATAATTAAAAGTTACCAATAAAGGAACATAATAGGACATAAAATGTGTTGCTTTTTCTACCTTGACAAAAGTACACTTGTGACAACCTGGAAGGCAGGATCCAATGCAGAATTTTTAGGTTTATTGGAATTCAATGCAAGATCCGTGAGGACTGTGTCCTGGCTAAAGTCTCCACAGTCATGCTCCTTCTGTCTCTGGCTTATTCCCGTACTGGGAGGGACATCCCAGGTTTTCTATCTCAGTCCATCTCCTTCTGCACACTGACCACCCCTTCTCCATCCCTCAGACCTAGGGGATGGTATTTGCAATGTGGTCTCACCTTGGAAAAGAAGGTCTTAGGAAACATGCCCGTGCATGCCCATGTAGCAGACTAGGGACTGCAGCCCTGGGGCCCTAGAATGTGATCCAGAAAGGGAGACTGGGATAGCGCAGGCTCTGGGTAGACATAATCCCTTCACTCTTGGCCTGTATTCTGTGCTCTCTGAGGAGTGGCATGACCCCAGGAAGGCCAGAGGAAGATGTGGGTAGACCAGAACAAGAATCCCTGTTGCCTGAGTGGAAGAGAGCTACTATCCAAGGCTACCAATTGCAAATGGAGGAACCCAGATGCAGAGTTTATACTTTTGCTCTGACTGAATACTGCTTTGCTTCCTTCTGCTTTGCCACCAAACTAAAATATTTATATATTAAGATGCAGCTCTGAAACTACATCACATTGAAAAAGACAATAAGAAAGATGGTAAAAGAGAAAAAGAAGAGTGTGTAGTGAAGAATGGTAGATAGAGGGAAAGAGGAGAGAAAGAAGGGAAATACTGTATATAGGAAGAGTAGTACAGGTAATAGTGGTTGAAGGGTTAGGTAATAAAACAATAGTATATATTGGCTGTTCATAATTTAAACATTGCTTTAGTCCTAAAACAAACACCTACATGCAAATTTTATAATTTCAAAATCTCTTGAATGTTGAATGCCTTTCCCTAACACTACATAATAGATTATTATTTTGACTATTCTTATAATCACAGACATATTTTATTTTTCCTATTAGTTTTAGAAAAGTAGAGATATACTTGCTAGAAACATGGAAAATGGCTAAGAATTCCAAGAGAGGTTGTTGGGGAAATGTCTTTAAAAACAGTCTCCTGCCACCTCTGAAAACCTGTTCTGACAGGCATCTCGCTATAAAGATTGCAGACACACAGAAATATTTCTTTTTTATAAAACAAGCAGATAAAACAATTACATGTAAGTTGTGAAGATAAGAAATAACTAGTTTTTGAGCAGACTTGACAGCATCATTAGCTACAAGGTTCATCCTACATTTACATGGTAGTTGGGGTAGCCATCTGTGTTTACTGATTGCTTTAAAATAAGAACTAATTTCTTGTATATTATGACTGGAGGTAGGTTTGTGATTTGTAGCCAAACACCAGCTGAAGTTAGCATCCTACCTCCGAGGAATTTAGGAGATAGGGAAGCATCTTCCTTATGACTACATTTCAAAGTGTTGGCCCCCAGCCCCTTGAAGAAACATTCTTGGGTGTTTATTTAGTCTTTAAAAATGTCTATATACATTTCAGAGAGCTAGAGAAAGTACACACAAGTTTTCTGCAGGAAATGATCAAATAAAAGGTGTTTGTGGAGGGAGAAATCTCTTTCCTTATTTTAATAGGCAGAATTAAGCCACTTATTTTACTGTATTTGTGATTACACAGTCTTCAAGTGCTATTTACAAATCATTCACTTCATTTTTTGGTCTATTTGGTGACCAAAATTTATGTCTTCCACAACTCTACAGGAATATCACAGTTATTAAGATGTTATTAATTCTGAAGTGTTTAAATTTTATATAGAGATTTCAAAAAATATACAAATGGCATGATAGAAAGCATATACACTTCATGTAACAAGGTGTTTATTACCTTAAGAAGTGGTCTTTTTTGGTGACTACACTTATTAAATAAATACTGAGTGCTCTCTATTGTTGAGGCACTGGTCTGGGCACCTGAAATCCCTCTCTCCATAGAACAGGCAAAGAAAACTTGAGTTTATGGAGCTTAAAATGTAGAAGAAGGGTACAGTTAATACTCAATAAGCATTATAGACAGTGATAAAAGGTGCATCCCAAGGGGATATATTTTACCTTGTGTATTACAAGGTGATAAAATCTATGGGATAAAATAGAGTAATATAATGGTTATTGGGAATGTAATAGTGGAGTGGGGTTGCAATTTTAAGTTGTCAGAGTGTGCCTCATTGAGATGAAACTTAAGGAGGTGGATGCTACAATTAATTCATGACTAAATGTTTACATGCTTTCTTCCTTGCAGAAATACAGAAAAGAGAATCAGGCATGTTATCTTCATTTTATCAGCTATAAAGAACAGTAGCCAAGGACCATGTGGATTCAACATGGCAGAATATTTTGATTGGGGGAAGTGGGATGCTAGAACTTGGGGCTTAGGAATGGGGAAGGAAGCAGACTGGGGAGTTTCTGCTCTGTCCAGGAGAAGAGTATCTAGTACACATCAATTATTGAATCTTCGTAGCTTGATTCTCCTCTCTTTCTTGAAGTTTTAGAACCATGACCAAAAGATGCAGATAAGGTGATTAAGTCAACCAGTGGTGTATATTGTTCCAAGTGTTGTCAGGATAATGAGACCTACTCAAAATAAAATGTGGCTCTTCATGGTGTCATAATTAGACTACCTTTTTAGTCTGTGCTGGCAATGTAAGTGTTTTTTTCTTCACTGTAGGTGGCTTTTTTTATGGTAGTTCATCCTCTGGTGACTCAGACAAAAAAAAGCCACTCTTTAGCTTTGAATTTGGTGCTACAGGAGAGGATGAAGACAAGTCCAGAGAACGCTGGGATGCTGGGAATTCAAGGTCAGAAGACAGCCCAGCAGGTACTGTTCCAGAAAAAAATACTTACCTAGCAAACAAGTGCTTTTTGTTTTCATTTTGGATCATCTGATAATCTTTCTTTTGTTTGCAGCACATGGCTTTAATAGTCATAGATACTCTAAAGGCACTGATTTCAAGGCCAATGAGAGTGATAAATTCTGTCTTTAGAGAATGTTGGCAAAGATGTATACATTAAATTAATTGTTCTCCTGATAATTATTTTCATATGTGCTCTTCATACTTGGTACTATTATTCTAATGATGAATTATTTTTCTGACATTTTTACTGTATAAGTTAATAATCAAAAATGCTTCCTGGGCCCAAATGTAGTATAGATTCTGTCCACTCATGTTTCTCTCTGTATCTAACCACAATTGATTTTCTATATCATGATTCTCTATTAAACTAACATATCCAGTTTGTTGAGTGATATGATAAGGAACAGTTCCTAAACAGTTTGTGGCCTGCAATTTTGTTTTTCAGAGGAAAAAATTTAAATTTGTTTAGGTGAGGTGGGGTCCTGCTGGTTCAATACAATTTTTCCTACTGTTCTACTCAAATTTTTGCTGTACTTGCCTGGTCCCTGAAATCTCTATAGTTTGTACCTCTATAAAATGGGAAGGAAGCAGTCCCAGTGAGGAAAATAAGTTCTATATTTTACATTAAACATTAATAGTTTTGTCTCTGAGGTGAAAAGGCAGAAACAGCTTTGGATGTAATATCTTTATGAAGGACACAAAATTTTCTATTTTCCGCTCACCTGTTTTGGGACTGACAAACTCAGTAGGACTAAGGAGACAAGACAGATCCATTTACACTTGTTTACATTAGGTGTTAGTCATTTTCTCATGTTCTGTAGAGCACAATAAGTTTATCGTTGATGGCCCCAAAGTTTCACCTTTCTTATGGAATTATTTCAAATCTCATAGTAAATTGGTTGCCATTCTTACTCCTGATTCTACTACGTAGAATTATATATGGAAAGATATGGAATAAGGGAGATCAAGGAATATATCAGAAACTAAAATGTAGCTCTGCTTCAAGCAGTGTGCAGGGATTAATTTCTTGTATTGTATGAATGAATACAACTTTTCTGTGGTAATGATTGTATTTCTGTATGGCAGATAAAACCAGTTCAGCAGGTGGTACTGTTTGGTGGTACTGCTTCAAATCAAAATTAAATTGGTAGGGGTCCCCGATCAAAATGGATTAGATGTAGGTTCAGTAAATGCATTAGCTGACTCTGACTCTGCTGCCAGGGAAACCAGGTACTCTGTGTTGTTTCTTAGTTTATGCTTTTGTCAGAATAATCAATTAATTAATTGATTTAATTAGCAAAGCAGGAATTGGTGGTGTTTTTGACAAATACAGATTTACTGTTAGAGGAATTAATGAGAAAAATTTGTAAACTCTTTGTCTGGTTCATAAAAAATCTATATTAACTTCAACAGAAATCAGTAATTTAAACAATTTAGTGAAGAGGCAAGTAGGATTGAGACTTCCCAGGAGCTTAGACCTGGGAAGAAGAGTTTCTATCCCCAGTCTTTCACACTAACCTTTGGGAAAACCATTTAACCTCTCTTGTTCCCAAATTTTGTCATCTGGAACAGATAAATCTTGGGCTCTTATGTTTGAATGACATCTACCATGTCAACTTTTAAAATCCCATTACCCATATTTGAACTAGTTTTCTTGAAAAAGAAGGCTGGAGAAAATAAATTTACAAAAGTATGGGTGAATAGCCTTTCATATTCAGAAACTAGAGCCAATGAAGGAAGTGAATGACAAGAATGCATAGTAGCTCTAGGTATTTTTGATTTAGAGCAATTTACCTGAAAAGATGTGAACACTGGTAGAAACAAGAACAAGGAGTTCACTAGTTGTGAATCCATTGACCTTGGTGCTCATGTCAGTGACTCAGGAATTCTGATCCAGAGACTATTAATGTAAAATACAAATAATTCTTATTCTTTCTATATTACTCCCAATAACACTTTAATTTTTCATTAAGCAGAAACATTTTGCCTTTTGATTTTGGAGTTGGTGGTGAAAAGAAGAGTGAATTAGTATTTGGTTTTGGTAATTCTGGCTCAGTTGGTGTCAGTGGTCTTCAACAAAAGGCTTTGGTGAAAATGAAATACAGAGCACTGGAAATCAAGTTCCAGTGATCTGGATATTACTATTCAGGTTTTTGCATCAAAATAAAGAATCATAAGATGTGTTAAAATACTCCCTTGGTGACAATGATTTTTTTCTTTCTTTCTTTCTTTCTTTTGTTTTCAACAGATAGCACCAACACAAGATATGGTGCTGGCTTTAGTAGCAGTGGTGCCTCTCTGGATGTGGGATTTGGTTGGGGGATATCTGATGAAAAGGGATTGGAAGTCAGTAAAGCTGATGGGAGAGAAACTAGAGGCAGTGGATCTGCTGGGGGTGAAACCATAGTCTTTGGACCTGATGCAGGTAGCTCAGGTATTCCAACTAAGACTCAATCCTCAAAATTTTAGATTGATTCAGTTAATTAATTGGTTAAGATGCTTTTATTTTAATGTCACTTAACAACAAGATTAATTAATTAATGTTAACTTTAATCACATTTTGATTTTCCATTAGTTGGAACTGGTTCTTCTGGTTTGAAACTTGGAGCAGGGAAAGGTGATGCTGCATTTGGTTTTGAAGTTTCTGATTCGAATTCATTTGGTGACACTGGCATTAGTAGCAAAACAGTTGAAGGAAATCAAACGAGTAGTTCTGGAGGATCTGTTTCCATTGATCTAGGTATTAATATCTGACTTTTGTGCATAAAAACGTCTGAGTCATAAAATATTTTCAATGCACAGTGACAATTATTTTATATTCTGCAGGTGATACCAGTTTCAGAAGTGAGAATCAATTTGTTGGTGGTGGCTCTCTAAATTCGATATCCAATTTATGGGATTCTGGTCAAGAGGGATTTGGAATCAATGAAATTGGAGGGAATGGAATGAGTGGCAGTGTATCTGCTGAGGCTGGATTCAAAGGTTTTGGATCTGATTCAAGTAGCTCAGGTATTCTAGCCAGTTTTGTTCCCGAGATATCCACCTGAATTCCAAATATTCATTTATTTAAAAATATTTTGATTTTTCTGTTAGTGGGAATGCTTGAGTCTCTTGAATTTGGACTTGGAGGAAAAAAAGTTGGAGCTGGATTTGATTTTAAGTATTCTGGTTCAAGGAAATTTGGTGGTAATGAGCTTAGTGAAAATGGAATAAAAGTTACTAGAGAATCTAGTTCTAGTGATTTAGGTATCGATATTTAATTTCTTTGCATTAAAGTTTGAATCATAAACTTATTGAAATGCATTCTGATGATAACCATTTTATATCATGTAATTGGTACCAGTGCAATAAAAAAGGGATTTTTTGTGTGTGTGACATAGCAGAAAATTTGGGCTTCGGTTTGGAGAAATTTGGTCAAAAGGGATTTGGAACAAGTGGATCTGGTTGGAATGAGCAGAGCAGCAGTAAATCTGATGTCAGTGGCGCAGGTGGTTTAGTCCTGGACTCTGCTCTGGTGAAATTTAAATTGATTTCAACCTTTCACCCATTATTTTATTAACATTTTATTTCTTCACCAGTGGAAAAGTCCTGGTTGTTTGAATTTGGACTTGGAGAAACGAAGGGTGGAGCTGAATTTAACTTTAGAGATTCTGGTTCAAATCAATCTGGTGACAATGGCAATAGTAGTAAAGATTTTGATGGAAATGGAGTAGGTAGTTCTGGAGGCTATAGTGCTAGGTACTAATTGTTAATTTCTGTGCACGAATGATTCTGAATCATAGTAGGCATTGAAAGTAATTCTAGTGACCATAATTTTGTATTCAACAGGTGATTCAAGTGCAAGAAATGGGTTTGAAAATTCTAGTGGTATCTCTGAAGATTCAGGAGTCATATTGGGGTCATCTGATCAACATGAAGTTGAACTCAGTAGAACTGGTGGGAATAGAAAGAGAAGCAGTGACCCTGATGAGGCTGGAAACTTGAGTCCTGGATCTGATGTCAGTGACTCAGGTATCCTAACCTGGACTCTATTTCCAAGAAATTCCAATTAATTTCTTTCTTCTTTATTTCTTTTACTCACATTTTGATTTCCATTAGGAGGAAACACTTGGTCTTCTGATTCTGGAAGTGGTGGAGGAGGTAAGAGTGCAGATGAACTTGGTGTTGGTGCTTCTGGACTAAATGAATTTGGTGAAACTGGCCTTAGTGGTTCAGGTACCTGTGATAATGGAAGCAATGTTACTGGATCTTATTCCTATGGCATAGGTGTTGAGATTTCTGATGATCAGAAAATCAGAATTCTAAGATACATCTTACAATAACAATGAAAATTGGAAACACTATTAATAGTAATTTAAAAGCAAGTCTGCATTCTTGAATGTTGAAATATACTTAGATGTAATCAGGCAAATGATATTTAACATTTGTTGGAGTAAGATGTGGAACCGGTTTCACAGCTGTGAATATATCAATGTGGAATTCTTTTTGTTGCTTTTATGTAAAATTGATTTAGAGTCAGTTGAAGAGATAGTTAAAGTAGCAGCTGAACTGTTGGTCTCAAACTTTGTATCCCAAATCTGGACTTGGCGGCTTTAATTTTCTTTGCAAGCCCATTGCTGAGAAGAGTAAGACTTTCATCCATTTTTAAAATCCTTATAAAATTTAATATTTCCACTTAATGAAAACATTTGATTGTATAGTCTTGGAATTTGTAGTACAAATTGTTAAAATAATATGTATTCTTGATGCAGAAACTGTTTTGATGCTGTTACCAGGGCTGGAATGTCCTGGGAACCACTAAAGTAGGCGACAATAGAACTGGGGGCAGTGGATCACTTCCAGTAAAATGGAGGTTCTGGAAAATATTCAGGATTAATCTTTAGAATTCAACTTCAGGATTAATATCTTTTTCTTAAAAAGTGAAATGTAATGAGCAAGACGTACAGTGTAGTGTAGTAACAGTTGACCTGACACAGGATTGACTATCAATTAACCTGTTCCAAGAAAGGCCTGGCCATACAGAAATAATAATTTTAATTTTGGTCGTTCTTAAACTTTGGACATCAGTTTTGAAGTCAACACTTCCATAGAACTAAGAAATTTGAAGTCATTTATTATTTATTGGCACAGATTTTTTTTAATCACAGTTGGTACAAATGGTTTAAAAGACACCTAATTTAGGAACTCCAAATAGGCTACCATTAGCTCAGGTATTCAAATATAGGTTTTCTTTCTGAGAAATGTATTCAGAATAATTACATCTTATGTTTCTAGTGTGGAGTGGTTACCAATTTGTGGTGTTTTTTTTTTTTTGGCTATTTGGATGTTAGATTTTAACTGCTTTGATTTTTCCACGTGAGATAGACTTTACTAAGTAGTGTTATTTTGGGTAGTGTTCCTAATGGCAGTAAATCTGGTGGCTTTGAAATGGGATGTCTGAATCTCTTGACATTAATGAAGGTGTCAGTTCATTTAGATTAGTGGTTTTCATATTTCTGGTTTCTGTGAGTGCAGAATCTTTTGTTTAATTGACCTCTTGAAATAGTACCCAGGTTTCCTAAAAGTAAAACAATTCAGAATGGGAAACAGTTTGGTTGACACTGGGATAGGAGACCTAGAACCCTGTGTACTGAACTCTTTTCTGTTACCCTTGACAAGTTTTAAGACAAATGATCTAGAAAAAAATTGATTTGGTGTCAGTTAATTTAGAGGCAAGGCATTTAATTTTCTTACCCCAGCAAATTTTTGAGTTGATATTTTTTTTCTTGTACAGCTTTACACAGTCTTAGTCTGCTAGCATTAGCATTGCTGGACTAGGACCTATGGTCTATCCGTCAGATAGTCTTTAAAAATCACTTTACCAAGTAAAATTATACACATAAAATAGCCTGATAATTTGTATTAAAATAGGTGTCACAAGCTCGTCTGAATATAGTACGTCTGGACCACTCAATACTCCAGGTAATCTGATTTATGACTTTGGGTGTTTAAAAGGTACACACATATATATACACTTACAATGTTGTAATGTTCTGCTGATTATTGATTTACTAGGACTTGATATTATTTTTTCTCATATTGAACTCTTAAGTGCTACTTCTCTTTGGATACTAAAGTTTAGATGGCCAACTAAGTATTTGAAACAATTTCATGAAATAGAGAGATTAAACCACATTTTAAGGGAATTCGAATAAAACATATTACAACTCCTTTACTATTTTAGACATAGTATTTTTTAAATGCCCTCATAAATAAATTAGGAGTTCAATATATTTCCACTCAGTCTGAGTAAATACAACCTGTAGTAAAGAGAAGAAGCTTCAAGATAGGTGATAAAGAGTATTTTGGAAAAGATTTTACAATTCTATCAGAACATCTACTTTTGTTATTGTTGTTGTTGCTTGCTTTTAGGCAATATAAATTTATTTGTTACAAAAAAGGGTCATTAGATATAAACAATCATGGGAAATGTAAAGTTTTAAAGTATACAGATTTTGCCCTGTGAGTGGGAGAATTGAATTTTCCTTATAGATAATTAAATTATTAGTATTAGATAATAGACTGATTTACTAAAATGTACCTCGGTCCTATTTGTGTCATGGCTCCTGATAAAAATAAGCATGCAATGTTTTATTTCTAAAGTTGAAAAATATTTCTTTAAGGGGTGCAGCATATGTTAGTAATTGTACAGGACCGCAAATGCATAAGCTCTTAATGATTCGTGAACATACTGAAAAAGTGTAGACTGTAGAGTTAATCATGTATGTGACTTTGGCAAGTCCCAGCTCTCACAAAGTTATCTATTATATGTGTCATATAATATACAGAATAAAAAATTCATTGATGGCCTTCAATGCCCACTTTTAAGTTCCCATGTAGAAGTTCCAATATCTTGTATATTTAAAATGAATATATGTCTTAACATTGAAATAATCTGTGCATTGTGTTGAATAGAAAAAGGATCCCACATTCCAGAAGCAACTCCAAAATACTCAGAAACAAATGCAATTATTGGTAAGTAAAAATGGTTGTGATATTCATTCATATATTTATGCCCAAGCCAGTACCTAATGAGGTCACAGAATCAAATTTACAAAATTTGAAACTCGTTTTATTTATTTATTTATTTACAAGGTCTCATTCTGTCATCCAGGCTGGAGTGCAATGGTGAAATCATAGCTCACCATAACCTCTGACTCCTGGGCATGAATCCTCGTGCCTTAGCCTCCTGGGTAGCTGAGACTATAGGAAGGCACCACCATGCCTGGATATTCCTTTTTCTTGGTAGAGGCAGAGTCTTGCTATGTTGCCCAGTCAGACTTGAACTTCTGGCCTCGAATGATCCTCCCACCTCAGCTTTCCAAAATGCTGAAATGACGGGCATGAGCCGCTGTGCCCAGCCTGAAACTAGTTTTTAAAATGTCCCCATCATCTGTCTGTTTAATCGTTGTATGTTTGAGTGATATCGCATTTGTACTATTTTTTCTCCAAAAAAACATGTATACACACACACATATATACATACATCTATACACATTCATATATACACACATTTATATGTATAGAGATAAATGACATAATTCTTTACCTTCATTCAATATAAATGGGACTTCATTCAGACTTAGAAAAACTATCTCTACAAAAAAAGCAAAGCAAGAAAGCATACAAACCACCACTTCCCTCCATATATTCCTTCCCATATTAGAGACAATTTTTGTTTTCCTATGGGAAGCAAGATGTTTTAAATCTTGCTTTATTTTAGCCAGAATAGCCAACTTAGGGTATGCTAAAGAAGTACTCATGTACTAGTTTTAGTGAGTCTTTGCAGTAGTGAAAGAAAGAAAGCACTGATTTAAGGTGGTGGCTGTGAGAATTGAACCTGTCAGTGATTTTATTTCTCTTAGGACAAAAACACTTTAAAACAGACCTAGAAGGTATGCTAATTGTTCTAAATAATTATGTACACGTTCCTCTGAATATTTTATAGGTGAAATATCTACCTGGAGCAAAGGAGCATATAAATCTTTCAACGGCCGCATCTTTTTCTTTGAATCTTCATGCCCATACACTTTCTGCCGTCACTGCATTGAATCTGGAGGGGATTTCAATATTGAGATCAAACGAAACAATGATAGTGAGATTGAAAAAATAACAGTTCTAATTGACAATAACGACGTCTCTATTTTTGGTGACACCATTTTAGTTAATGGAGAAAGGTAAATAACGTAGTGTTTTGGGTAAATGATATAAAATTATTTGAAGTAACCTGAGCAAAAAAGGAAAAAAAAAAGAAAAAGATAAAAAGGGAGATGATACTTTCTTCCTATTTTGATGCTCTTATCGATATTTATAATTGATCATTGGCCAAGAGTTTGATAAATGTGTAAGACTTTGACCTATTTCGGATTGTAAGACATTATATTTATTCCTGTAACAAGAAGGAAAAAAATTCTGTTGTTTGAGTATACTGACTATCTAGATTATGGGAAACGTGTATTCAACAAAACTGAATATTTTTGTTGAACATCTCAGGACATTTCAGTTTTCATTTGCAAGTTTAACGCCAAGTATAAATTTAAGATTTTATAAGTTAGAAATTGAGGAGATTAAAACTCTTAGTCCATAATTTTTAGAGGGAGCAATTCAGATTTGGAAGGGATGGCATATTTGAATACTTTCCAGGATAAGAAAATGAGGCATGATATTCTACTTGTGAACATTTCAAGTTATTTTTTTCTGACACCAAACCAATGTTTCATCCTGTTAATTTCTCCAAAGCCCCAAGGATCTATTAGTTGTTTTTTAGAAGTTCTTCCAATATTCAAAAAAGCCATTGTTTCTCTTTTTCTGAATTGATAAAAAAAACTTCAATATTTACCAGCAAGTATAAGATACTAAATTGTTGGGTGACATGAATTATCAGAAAACATATTATAATAGCATGATTCTTACCTTTTTACATATACTTGTATTTTATATTTTTCACTGTACAGATACCATATAACAATAAGTTGATTCACATAAAAAAATATGGAGAACATAATGTTCTGAATAGCCGTAGAGGAATCCTGACTTTAATGTGGGACAAAAATAACAAACTCTCGGTAAGTCTATCTATGATTTTCTTATAATCCTGTGCTTTTTGTCCTTTAGTTAAGTTACAAAAACAATACATTATTAGGGAAGTAAGAGCTAAGGCTTATTGAGAAATCTCTATGTATTAGTCACTATACTAAACATTATCTCATTTAATATTCAAAATATCTTAAAATACTATTAATAATATTTTGCAAATGATGAAACTCAGGAAATGCAGAGTAAGAAAGTTATTAGGCTGGTGCGAAAGTAATTGCAGTTTTGACCATTACTTTTAAATGGCAAATACTGCAATTACTTTTGTACCAAATAATTTTTTCAAAGACACATAGTTAGTAAATGGTGGCCTCAGGACCTATTCAAATTCCAGAGCCAGGTCCTTAAGAAAAAGCCCTCTAACATCTCTAAGTAACCAGCTTAGATAGAATTGTATTTGAGGAGGCGTGGCCCTTTGGTTTGGGTACATTTTGTTTTGAGATATGTTTAACATTTCATGAACATATACATGTAATTTATTTTTAAAGCTCACTCTTCACAAGCAGTATCCAACTTGTGGTCTTTGTGGTAACTTCAACAGCACTCCAGGTAACATTCCAATGTATCATTCCTAAGAACTTGCTTTCCAAAATAAAGCTAAAAACTAAAATAATTTTTCAATTTTCTTTTGTCTAAAGAATGAGAACTCATTAAAATGAAAAAAAAATTTACATTGCCAAGTTCATATGTAGCTTGAAAATAATGCACACATAAAAAGAATAACTTAAACTAAACAATGCTTTCTTTTTAAGGGCAAGATATTAATGAGCACATTGCCAATAGTAAAATTCCTGGTGATTGTCCCAATGCTGTTGGTAAAAGCTATGAAGTTTGTGAAGATGGAATACAGGTAAGAAATTTATATTTCCTTGTGTAGCAAATTCTAGCAATAGTTCCCTTGGTTTCTTTTTTAAAATAAATGTTATTGTGTATATTTAAGATAGACAACATGTATATATGTTTGTCTGGTATGTGATACACATGGATAGTAAAAAATTTACTACAGGGAAGCAAATTAACATATCCATCATCTCATCTGAAAGATACTTCAACTTTTTTTTGTTTGTTTGTTTCTGTGGTAAGAGCAGCTGAAATCTGCTCATTTAGCATGAATCCCAGATACAGTACAATTTTATTACTTACAGTCTTCAGATTGTACATTAGATCTCAAGACTCCCCCAGCCCCTGTAACCACTGTTTTGTTCTCTATTTCTCCAGACTTAATTTTTTAAAAAAGATTACACATGTAGGTGTTGCACATCTTTATGTGTAAAAAGATTACACATAAAGATGTTGCATGATCATCTTCCTGTTTCTGGCTTATTTCACTAGTATAATGTCATCCATGCTCATCCATGTTATGCCAAATGGCAAGATCTTGTTCTTTTTTAGGGCTGAATAATATTCCATTGTGCATATATGAGCCACAGTTTCTTTATCCATTTGTTTATTTGTGAACATTTAGGTTGTTTCCATATGTTAGTTATTATGATTAATGCTGCAATGAACACAGGAGTGCAAATATCTTTACAAGGTGGTATTTCATTTCCTTTGGGTATATGCCCAAAAGAAGGATTGCTGGGTCATATATTAGTTCCTTTTTTTTTTTTTTTTTTTTTTTGTGACAGGGTCTCACTCTGTCACCCAGGCTGGAGTGCAGTGGCATGATCTCTGCTTACTGCAACATTTGCCTTCCTGGTTCAAGGGATTCTCCTGCCTCAGCCTCCCGAGTAGCTAAGGTTACAGGCACATGCCACTAGGCCTGGCTAATTTTTGTATTTTTTGTAGAGATGGGGTTTCACCATGTTGGCCAGGCTGGTCTCAAACTCCTGACCTCTAGTGATCCGCCCGCCTTGGCTTTCCAAAGGTCTGGGATTATAGGCGTGAGCCACTGCGCCCGGCGGGTAGTTCTATTTTTAATCTCTTTAGAAATCTCCATCATGTTTTTCATAATGGCTGTACCAATCTACATTTCCACCAACAGTGTATAAGACTTGCCTTTTCTCCACACTCTTGCCAGCTCTGTTATCTTTTAACTTTTTGATAATAGCCATCCTAGCAGGTGTGAGGTGGTATCTCTTGGTGATTTTGAGCTGCATTTCCCTGATGATTAATGATGTTGAGGACCTTTCATATACCTGTTGGCCATTTGTATGTCTTCTTTTGAGAAATGTCTATTTAAGTCTTTTGCCCATTTTTAATTGGTTTATTTCTTTTTCCACTTTTGAGTTTTATATGTTCTTTATAAATTTTGGATATTAACCCTTAATCAGATATATGGTTTACAATTTCACCTCCAATTTTTAGGCTATGCTTTAATTTTGTTAATTGTTTCATTGCTATGCAGAAGCACCATTTGATGCAGTCCCACTTGTTTATTTTTGCTTTTGTGGCCTGAGCTTTTGGTGTGATATCCAAAGCATCACTACCAAGGCCAATGTGCAGGACCTTTTCTCCTGTGTTACTTTTGAGATTTTATATTTTCTGGCCTTAAATTTAGGTCTTTGATTAATTTTGAATTGATTTTTGTGTATGGTATAATATATGGGTTTAATTTTATTCTTTTGCATGTGGAAAACCAGTTTTTCTAGCACCGTTTAGTGAAGAATCCATCCTATCCACCATTGTGTCTTCTTGGTGCCTTTGTCAAAGATTGTTGGCAGTGTATGTTTGGATTTATTTCTGGGCTCTCTCTTCTGTTCCACTGGTCTGTGTGTCTGTATTTATGCCATTATTATGCTGTTTTTATTACCATGGCTTTGTAGCCCTTGGTTCCAATTTAAGCCCTTGGTTCCATATTCTCCTAAGCACTCATATCTTCTTCTTAGAATTCTGTAACTAATTCCTCTCCAATGTTCCTATTTTCTGTTTTTCAGCTTTAGTCTAGCTGTATGTGCCAAAATAATTTCCCTCCCAAACACTATGATATTTACCATATATTAGTGTAACAATTATAATTTCCTTTGCATAGTGTTTTAGTTTGTCTTTATGGAAACTGACATGCTTCACCTTTGCGCTGTCATCTCTTGATGGGTACTGTCTTTGATTCCTCTCTTACAGTTTTGAAATCCATTATGTTCCACTCCCTTACTTTCGCCCCAGATAGCCAGTCTGAATTGTCATCCCTCATATATTTTACTTTCTTTTTAAGAAAGTTACAGATAATATTTTTGACAACAGCATTTGCAAATAGTTATCATTTACTCTGTGAATTTTCTGCACTTCTGTAATGCTATTATGTTGAATTTGATAGACTGCATCCATTTGGTGACTGAATGAATGTTCACACATTCCTATTGCAACTAGAATAGAATTCTCAAGATCAAGAAATGTGTGGCTAGTATTGATAAAAATATTTTTGTTTTATTGAAAGAGGGTGTTGCAATTATAGCCATCCAGTCATCTTACAGCAAAAAAAAATTACACAGTGGCATTATACAAGATCATCTGGCATCTTCGTTGTGAAATCTTACTTGATCTTTGCAGTTGGAATTGGTTTCTCTTTCTTTTTTTTTTACCTTATGGCTCTCATTGGTACTTATAATAAGATACCATCTATAAAAATTGCCCAAGTTTTTCTCATATGTTCCCCATAAAATTAGAAGTTCCATGATAATAGGGATTATACATTGCGGTAGTTGCATAATACGTTGAAAACTTATTCCTTGCTGCTCAAAAGTGTTAGTTAAATGATTACATCAATTTACATTCAAACCAATGTATATTTACTAAGGACCAACTTATGTACAAGATATTCAACTTATGTACAAGATATTGTGTTTAGCCCAGAGCATAAAAATTCATATTTCTTACTCTACAGAAATCTATAATCTAGTGAGAAAAATGTACAAAAAATAAATAGGTGAAGAGTAATATTTGAAGATTTTGTTTCACTTAATTTTATACCTCATTTGGAGAATGTTATCAGCCTGCCTCCAGCCTAGTTGGTACAAATTGTACGTTCGGGCCGGGTGAGGTGACTTATGCCTGTAATCCCAGGACTTTGGGAGGCCAAGGCGGGTGAATCACGAGGTCAGGAGTTCAAGACCAGCCTGGCCAACATGGTGAAACCCCGTCTCTACTGAAAACACAAAAAATTAGCTGGGCGTGGTGGTGGGCAACTGTAATCCCAGCTACTCGGGAGGCTGAGGCAGGAGAATTGCTAGAACTGGGAGGTGGAGGTTGCAGTGAGCCGAGATCACGCCACTGCCCTCCAGCCTGGGAGACAGTGCGAGACTCTGTCTCAAAAATAATAATAATTAAAAAAATTGTACATTTGTTCGACAGTAGCTTTTTTGTTTCTCTAAAAACAAACAAATTATTACAATAGAAAACAGCTATATGGTGGTTGAACTATGTTGAAATTAGAACTTTTTTCATTCAATAATATATGTCATTACTTCTTTTACTGAAACAGAACAAATATGTTGTTCCCAGAGCAAATACCCATGACTCCGACTAAGAAAGGACAGAGTCACTTTATTTTATGGTCATCTGTTTGATTATAAAATATGAGGAGATTAACAGTTAAAGGGACAATATCCCTTCTGTCTATTATGGTATTCTATCAAGTACCATCCCAATCTTTGGCATTAATCAATCTCTCTTCTCACCGCTTCCATTTTCTCTAGCTCTAAAATTCATGTCACCTTTAAAGATGGTTTGGATAAGCTGAAGTACAATAAATTTTGAAGTCATTACATAGCAATCCAAGATGCCAAGTTTCCAGAAGTATTCTCTTAGGAGTCACTTTACCAGCTATAATACTTCAAAAACCTCCATTTCAATGAACATCGTTATACAACAATCCAAAATGCCAAGAATCCAACAGTATTCATTTAGGAGTCATGTTACCAACCATAATACTTCAAAAACCTCTATTTCAAACAGCATCCAAGCACTTTCCTTGTCAAAGCTACAGGATATAATGCAAAACAAAAACAAAAAACTTCTGTATTTATCCTTTAAACGATTCCTTATTGCCCATTATCCTTATTGCCCATTTTTCTTATTTTTATTGCCCGTTTTAATAAAATAACATGCTTTATTTTGTAGCACTGTAACAAAATTATTGGAACCTACTTTGAGAAATGTGGAAAGGTTGCTGCTCTATCCAATGACTACAAAATGATCTGCATTGATGAATACTGCCAAACTAGAGACAAAACATCTACATGTGACACTTATTCAGAACTGTCCCGCCTCTGTGCCTCAGATGGTCCTGGCACCTTTGAATCCTGGCGAAGCGACTCCGATGTGGTTTGTGGTAGGTTTTTACCTTCATTGTAGTTACAGCTCTGTAAGTTTCTACAGTATTTTTTTTCTTATTTTTTAAAATTATACTTTCAGTTCTAGGGTACATGTGCACAACATGCAGGTTTGATACATAGGTATACAGTACTTTGAAGTTAAGCTCCATTGCAATGTAATCTCAAATGATTCTAAGCCCTGGAAGGGGATCCTAGAGATGATGAAGTCTCATTTGTCACATGTACTTACAAGGAAACAGGTTCGTTTAGGTGATGTGACTCACCTCAAATTGCAGTGCTTTGTGTTAAGATCTAATTTAAAATGTTGTACTCATTACAATCAAAAAAAGTCACTGAAAACCACAAGTAAATTCTGTAAAAAATAACTGGACAATTTATCAAATGTATACTGATTAGTGCTATCATTTTCTTTCAAAAAGATTAATAAAGTGTAAATACGAGCTTCATATACAAACATACTTTCCACATATGCTTAAGTCAATCCTCATAATACAAGCAGAATATAAATTTCAACTTACGATGAAATGAAATTACAGAAAATATATATTTCCTGTAAATTAGATATTGTATCATAAAATAATGCACAGGAAATTGGCATAATTTAGTTGTACTGAGTATCTTTAAAGGCTGACTTCTACCTTGTAACTCAGACTCAAAGAATTCCATTTGAAAAGCTCCTCCTTAGAAGAGTGTGTATTTATTACATTAGTTTCCTCTAATATCCGTGTACACATATTTTTATATTTCTCCAGGAACACAAAGATGTCCAGAACAACATATCTACAAAGAATGTGGACCCTCCAACCCTGCAACTTGTTCTAATGTGGCTCCTTTTCAAGACAGTGAATGTGTGAGCGGCTGCACCTGCCCAGAAGGTAGTACACCAATGAGAGTATTTACACTAAAACAAAACAAAAGCTAAAAACAAAGTGGAACTCAAGTCATGTCAGAGTGGTGTCTTATTTATAGCATGACATTCCAACAATTTAACTACTTCTAATATATCCTCTTAGCAAACTGCAGAGGAGGGTTAGAGAGAATTTTAAAGCTAATGTGTATTTCCATCTCTACAATACCTGAGGGCTTCTGTATTCCACAGAATATGTTTTAGTCCCACATTGAGTGCAATAGGACTGTGCACTGTGTAGCAGTAACTCAAACTCAGAAAATTGTTTTCTATACTCTTGCCAGTTTTCAAATTAGGAGTAATTGCTTTAACAAGAAATTATCATTTTCAGTGCATGTTACGCTCGAAAGAACTATCTCAAGAGTAATTTCACAACACACTGCTGAACAATTTACTGATGTTTGTAGAGTTTTGTGGTTAGCCTTATATGATGTGTTCTAGGTTATCTGTTGGATGACATTGGAGAGAAAGGAAAATGTGTATTAAAAGCTGAATGTCCCTGTGAATCCAGTGGAACAGTGTATCAGCCAGGAGAAGTCCGAGAAGGTCCTTGTGGTTCTCAGTGGTATGTGTGTGCTTTTTGTTCACATATTACTGATGGTAAAATAATACCAATATTTTTATATAATTTGAAAAAATTCCTAAATGCACCCTTAAAATAAACTTTTAAGAAATAAAAAGCAATCTCACTGCATTTTCTGTGTTGTTGATGTTTTGTTTTTAGACTCAGTGTGTTTTTTATTATAAAATATATGATCTTTCTTGGTGCCTTTAAAAGATAATATTCACTAACAGAAACAGTGTTTTCAATAGTAAACCACTTGGCAGTTGCAAATATAGAACAAAGTATAGTATAAGATTTTGGTTATAATAATGAAACAATAATGATGCTAATTCTGCCAAGAATATTTAATAAAACATACAGTTAGAAAGAGCCAAATACTTTTCAAATAGTTTTTATATGTGGCTAGATTGGTGAAGATGAATAATATATCTATTCATCAGTAAATTTTAATGTACCAAAAGTTATTGTAGATGATTTCACTATTAACTGAATACCCAGCTTGGGTCTTCCTTCTGAGTTCCACAACAATATAATGACCATTGAGATTTCCCCAGTCTTCATTATGGCTTTTCTCTGAAGCTCTAAATTTCTGCAATACTACAAAATACTTTTCCTGAAATGTATTGTGTCTTTCTGGGGACATAATTTGGCTTAATAAAAAAATCTATTTTCTCTATAAATGGAAAATGTTTTATTTTGGTGATAATAATCAATATTAATTTATATTATATGTATATTAATAATTAATTTTAATTTGTATGAAGAATTATAAATAATAGTAGCTATAATTTATTAAATGTCTATAAGAGCACTGTTCAAGAGAAATATAATGTAGGCTACAAAAATGATCCACATATATCATTTAACAGTTTTTAGTTGACAAATTTTTAAAAGACATGAAGAAACAGGTGAAATTAGTTTTAGTCGTGTATTTTATACAACCCAATATATCTAGAATACTATTATTTACACATAAAATTAATATGAAATCAAGTTAATGAGAGATTTTACAATTTTTTTTTCCTCCTTAAGTCTTCAAAATCTGTATGTCTTTTACATTTATAGTGGGTCTCAATTTAGATGAGACACATTTCAAAAGCTTGCTCGATGTATTGTGTGGTGCAATTCTACAATGTGGCTTGTGGCAGGTATTTTAATACTGATAATGAACCGTATTCCATTTTAAAAAATCTCTGAAATCCAGCTTGTAAGTTTCATATGCTTAATTCATGAGAAGTTATCATTATAGTCAGGGCTTCTAAAATATCAGGCTACCACCATCAATGAGACATTTTATCAGAGCTGAGACGTTGGGTGGGAAACAAAGATGGTCTAATAAAGCTTAACCAAATGTCTTAACTTGTGATGATTTTTTAGTGTGATATTTTATTTTCACCATAGAGAAAATACAATTGATAACCCTCAATATAACCATTACATTTTAATAGCACATGCCAAGATGCAAAGTGGTCTTGCACCGAAGCATTATGCCCTGGAAGATGTAAGGTGGAAGGAAGTTCCCTTACCACCTTTGATGGTGTTAAGTACAACTTTCCTGGAAACTGCCACTTCCTGGCCGTTCACGTATGTAATAGCCTGCAATATTTGAGCAAACTGATATACAAACAAAGCTATTCCTCAACCAATTTAGAACACAATCTTCACCTTGAATTAGTATTTAAAGAAATAAAAAGTGAACAATCCTTCAGTTACTGGCTATGTATTTCAGTATGCTTTCTATCACATACTGGCACTGATGGTATTACCTGTCAGTATTAAATTAACACTACCTGTCCTCCTTGGAAATTCCTTGCAAAAAAACAACCTAACAAATAGAACGCTCTTCATTCACTCATAATCATCTAAATACACAGGGAATTTATTTCATTTTTCTGCTTTTCTTTGTGTGTGCTCACTGTTCACTACTGCTTCAAATAAAATAATCTTTTTTTTTTTTTTTGAGATGGAGTCTCACTCTTTCACCCAGGCTGGAGTGCAGTGGCATGATCTCGGCTCACTGCAAGCTCCGCCTCCTGGGTTCACGCCATTCTCCCACCTCAGCCTCCCAAGTAGCTGGGACTACAGGTGCCCGCCACCACGCCCGGCTAATTTTTTGTATTTTTAGTAGAGACGGGGTTTCACCATTTAAAGGATGTTCTCGACCTCCTGACCTCGTGATCTGCCCTCCTTGGCCTCCCAAAGTGCTGGGATTACAGGCGTGAGCCACCACACCCAGTCAAAATAATCTTTTACATTCCGTGAAGCATCTTTCACTTCCATTATTATTCCCTTAAATTTATTTTTAGTTTTTATAATATAATAATAACACTAAGATAGAGGCTATTCTTACATTTAGATTCTTCTCAGTACGAAAATTTTAAGTCATTTGAATTTCAATGAAAGAGTGATTCCATTTTGTATTTTGTGCTACAGAGGATTAGCAATCTAGTCTACCTGAGAATTAGCGATTTTATATAATCTGTCTGGTAAGAAATGAACAGAATTTATGAATCCTGAACTGAGAAATGTTGTTTAATGTCCTATAAGCTACAAAATGTAGTTGCTGCTACTAAAAGTCACTCTTCCAAAATAAAGCTTCTTGGTTGCCTACCAACATAATCTGCCTTTCCTTCTTTTTTTTTTTTTTTTTTTTTTAATTTGAGATGGAGTTTCACTCTTGTCACCCGGGCTGGAGTGCAATGGCTTGATCTTAGCTCACTGTAACCTCTGCCTCCTGGGTTCAAGCGATTCTCCTGCCTCAGCCTCCCGAGTAGCTGGGATTACAGGCGTCCGCCACCACGCCTGGCTAATTTTTGTATTTTTAGTAGAAACGGGGTTTCACCGTATTGGCCAGGCTGGTCTCGAACTCCTGACCTCAGGTGATCCTCCCACCTTGGCCTCCTAAAGTGTTGGGATTACAGGCTTGAGCCACTGTGCCAGGCCTGCCATTCCTTCTTTTTATGCTCCTCTAAATCCATTAGGATACAGGATGGGGAAAGTAAGAGGGAAAAATGACAAAGCGTAGGGAACATTTGCTTCTTATAGATTACAGATTTCCAGACATTGAAATGAGATCTGGAAGTCCATGTTTGATATGACTTATATTACAGTTTAACAAATTAAATACCTCCCACATTGGATTTAAATAGACATTGTGAACTGTCCAGAGAAGAGAGGCAAACTATGTTACTGCTAATTCCTAAGAGTCCTTATGTGGCAGCACATTCCCTTTGGGAAGACAAAAAGTAAAAATAAAATTAAAAAATGATGACTGTGAAAATTCATCAATGGTAAACTACACGGATATAGTTTATGCAAGATACTTGGACCATCTATAAAGCTCTTGGCCAGTCCTGAGGCTGTACTATGGGCTGAACTAGGTTTCTATTCTCAGAGCACTCTGATTGTAGTAGGAATTGTACATATTTAAAATTCAAACTTTCATTTGGAATGAATTACCTAGTAATAGCATACCATAAATAGAATTAAATGACATTCTAATAAACATTTTAATGAAATTCATTTTTTACAGAATGAAGATTGGTCTATTAGTGTTGAGCTCCGTCCGTGCCCAAGTGGTCAGACAGGAACGTGCTTAAATAGCGTTACACTTCTCTTGAATTCTGTAAGTAATAAGCTTCCTAAGCCTTATTCAGAGTCAAATCATATCACTTATTTTATAAATTCAGGATTTCTGAGGTTGAAGAAGAGAAGTTTTACTATGTATAATCAAAGCTTAAGTAAAATTGCATAGAAAATTGATGAAGTCTCTGGAAGTGCCGGCTAGTTGCAAAGGTCTTGAAGTATATCAAAATTACTCTACGTATACAATTAATATGTTGATTATGGATCAAATTTATGTGTTCATTGAAGTGTTAAACTTTGCGGACCATTTATGAAGGAAGGCAATGGCATTAGTTTAGAGTTTTATTTATTTGGAGTTGACATTATAAGTGGAAATAGACCTAAATGGGAAGGGAAGACGAGTAGTTTGGACTTTGGCCTTTACAAGCTGTTTAACCTTTGGATACCCAAGTTACTGTCTTAGGTTTCCATTTCTGCATCCACACGTTGGGGATGAAGATTTATTTACAATCTGCTACACAGAGTTGGTATGAGAAACAAGGAAGCAAAGTGTGCCTTAAAAATGCTTTTAAAATGTCTATATTTTAGATATTTATTAATTAATCCAATAGCATTAAACATGACATAAAAATTTGGGTTCATATATTACATTAAAATTAATACTGTAAATTAATATTAACAAAGTGTTTTAAATATTAGTCTGTTCCAGTTGACAAATACGTATTCAACAGTGATGGAACAGTCACAAATGACAAGATTAGAAATCAAGGTTATTACTATTCAGGTAAGTTTAATGACAACATTTTAAAATAAGTGTAAGATGCAGTCATTTATTCAATTTCTAAAGCTATTACGTTTCTGACTTTTAACAGATATCAAAATGTTAAAGTATTTTAAGAAAGTAAAAACTGTTGAACATGTTATTAATGTTCATAATTATTTTAACAGATAAAATACAGATATTCAATGCATCTTCCTCATACCTTCAAGTAGAAACATACTTTCATGTGAAACTACAAATACAAATTGTTCCTGTGATGCAATTGTATGTTTCTATGCCACCCAACCAATTCACAGACACTGTGGGTAAGTCCTCTGGATACAGTTTTATTCCCAAGGCTGAAATATTACCATCACTTATTCTAATTTCCATTGTCTCTTAATTAATAACATTAAACCAATAAACCATTTTGACTTAATCTTTCCTTCCACATTGTAGTAAAATAATTCCAACTTGCTTTTTCTAGTAAATATGCCTTTACTTATTACAAAATCTATTCTGTAAAGATTTGAACAATTTAAATATTTTAAACATTTTAAATTAAGGCTTTTATTTAAATGAGATTTGATAATATATGTGTTAATGTATCACTTTGCTAGTATGTGCTACTAAGGCTTTAACCTGTAGTTGAATAAATGAAAATATTGTAGATATAAATCTTTTGAAAATCACAATTCATATAAAAGCTACACTATGACTTGTCTTTCTGGGAGATCATATGGTCATTTCTTTCACTGATGTTTTCTATCTTAGAAATCAGTTAACTACAGCCATAAAAGTTGAGCAAAACAAACAAAGATTATGGCAAGTGCCACAAAGACTATTAATTTATAAACAGTAGAAGCTTTTGTAACACACCTTTACTTGAGAAGGTAACTTATTTACACAAAGGAATAGATGTAACTTATAGGTCAGAAGGGTCCAGGTAAAAAAGGCATATAGCACTCAACATGATTCAACTCTCCACACTGAAATCATGCAAATGTGAGTCCTAAGTTCCCACTTATAAGCACACTTTCTGTTGGCTCCTCAAAAGAGATAAAGTTACAGTGACAAACAGGAAAAAGACAGTATTCATGGCAAATGGCGTTTCAGTGCTCCTGGAATTCTAATGAAAGGGCATTTGGGTGAAATCTGAAATGCCATGAAATTTTTCTTAATGTATGAAGGCTAAACAAGACATATTCTCAGGTAGCTTCTACAGGTTTTCACTTGGGTGAAGAACTGAATGTGCAGTGAGGATGTGAATCCAAAAAATTGAGTAGGTGAGGAGATGTGAAACTTTGTTGTGTGCTCTTACACAGGACTCTGTGGTTCCTACAACAACAAAGCAGAGGATGATTTCATGTCAAGTCAGAATATATTGGAGAAGACATCTCAGGCATTTGCTAACTCTTGGGAAATGATGTCCTGTCCTAAAGGAAACCCCTCTTCATGTATTAGTATAGAAAAAGGTAATATTAATTGACTATCAAATCTGTAATTACATATTTGTTGCTAGGAATTATGTACTTATGTATGTATATATGTAATAATATGATAATCCTGGTTTAAGCTAGTTTTTGTTGTACTGTCTGAATTTTGGAGGACACAGCAGAGAAGCAGTCTGGCTGGCTGATCTTATTCCTATAAAACAAATATTTCACTGGGAGTTCATCTTGGTTGTTTGGTTTTCTATATCTACTCTTTTCCTCCTTACACAATTTTCACCATCATTATAGAATAACAAGATTAGAAGAGATTTGGGGCACATTTAGTTCTTCAATTATTCCCTCCTTTAACTTAGTTATAAAAATGGTCATTGGTTGAAATAGCAAGACTTGCCCAAACTGGTGAAGCCACTTGATGAAAGAGCTATAGCTAGGTCCAGGTGTCCTAACCACTGCTGTCCAAGCCCCAATACAGAAATTAATTAAACTTTACACTGGTATGATTCAGCTTACATTTATGCTTACCAAAAGGCTTTTAAAATATTACTGCAATTTATTTCTACCAAAACTCATGAACAGTATAGGCGGGACTATTACCCCCACTAATGTAGATAATGATAATGGAGCACAGAGAGGGTTAATAAAGATCCTTAGTGAGTAAGGATGACAGATCAGAAATCCAAGTATTTTAAATCCAAGTCATGCTTTGGTTGCTCCCCTGGTATTGCTGATACTAACAAATGTTTTATTTTGTGTTGCTTCTTTCATTAAAAAAAGAGTGCAATGGAAGCTAAGTTAAAATATATTATATTGACATGTTAATTAGTTGTTTCTAAATTAATAAATATTAGAAATAGTCTTATCAGATTATAATAATATTTTAACATTACTAAGGCAATTCCTTTTGAAAGCATAGTTTACTAATTTTGATTTAAGAGAGTTGTTAGAAGCATTAATGTAAACATCGTAATATATATTTCAGGGTTTTGATTATCATATTATTTTGGTTTTGGTGTGTTGCAGTGAAAACAATTATAATGAGAATGTATATCTCATAAGAAAGCAAGTCAATTTATGTTAAGCAGACTATATGCCACCACTTTGGAGAGATATATAAATTAATTAAATTTAATTTTCAGTGCTTTACATTTAACTTAACATAAAATACAGAAAATTAAACTGTATTTTACTAATCTGCTAGTAATATTTAGATAAAAAGTGGTGATACTGGGTTGCAAATTTGTTAAAAATTTTGAAATAATTGGCCTCAGTTTGTTTTTAATAGAGACAGCTTCCTTTATTACCAAAAATCATTAAGCCAAGCACTTGTTACTCAGATGCTATTGTTATGATTTTTTTTGTTAATTTAATACTATGCTAGTTATTTATAAGCCAACGAAATACCAATTAAAAAACAAAACAAACTTAGTGTATTGGAATTATTGATACTGGTTGTGCTAATATATGACCTTCAGGAAAACTGATATAATCTTCTGAGGTGACAGGGATCGTGTAGTGGGGGTGGAGGGGGGGCTGTTGTTGTTGATTTATTTGCCAACTCATCAGAATTTAGCTATAAGTATATATTTTAAAGTTAAAAGACATCTAAAGATATAATATAGTCCCCTAATTCCATTTTTATATAGAAACTGCATTTCAGAGAAAGGTAAATTGATTTAATCCAAAAATCCAAAGCTAACAAAGACTTTGCCTCTTAGTGTAAGATTTTTTTTAAATTACAGCATGCCATTTTTGCACATAGTGACAAGTTAGATGTATTACAGCAAAACACTTTAAAAATTGTTTTAATAGTGAGAATTATTAAAATTTTACATCTTTTCTTTCAATTAAAGAATTATGGCCGAGTGCGGTGGCTCATGCCTGTCATCCCAGCACTTTGGGAGGCCAAGGTGGGCGAATCACAAGGTCAGGAGATCGAGACCTTCGTGGTTAACATGGTGAAACTCCATCTCTACTAAAAATACAAAAAATTAGCTGGGCGTAGTGGCACGCACCTGTAATCCCAGCTACTCAGGAGACTGAGGCAGGAGAATCGCTTGAACCCAGTAGGCAGAGGTCGCAGTGAGCCGAGATGCCATTGCACCCCAGCCTGGGTGAGTGAGACTCCATCTCAAAAAAAAAAAAAAAGAAAGTATAGTATTATATCATTACTGAAACTAATTTTGAGTGCACTGATTTTCTTCCAGAAAAATTTGCTGAAAGGCACTGTGGAATTCTTCTTGATTCAAGTGGGCCTTTGGCTTCCTGCCACCCAATTGTGAACCCTAAACCCTATCATGAGGTATGTGAGGCTCTAACATTAACACCTCTTGTTGAGAAATACTTTGCTGATATTGACAAAAGCATGTAGATATTAAATATTTTCAAATAACAACCATTGTCAGTAGATTAAAGTATATCCTTAGATATGCATTAGATTCTATTAATTTATTCTTGTGTTAGATATACCAACTTCAAAAGTGGTTCTGGAAAATAACCCCAAATAAGAAAAGTCTTGAATAAGTTTCTCTTTCTGCCTTTTCTAAATGTTTTGACAAGCAGGCTAGTAATTCATTTACTATTTTGAATATTTAAAAATGTTTTTGAAAGTTTCAAAGAAACTTTTTTGGGGTAGAAGAGTGGTTAGGAACTAAATTATTATACTCAGTTTACCTGTTCTTCTGAGTAACTTCATAATGCAATATAAATTTGTTTCTTATTTTCAAGGAATGCAAAAAATATACTTGCACTTGTGAAAACAGTCAGGACTGCCTATGTACAATTTTAGGCAACTATGTGAAAGCGTGTGCTGAGAAGGAAACATACATAGTGGGATGGAGAACTGGCCTATGTGGTAAGCAGCAGAGAAGATTTCAATAACTACTTCCTTCTCAGTTTCGCTATAGTCGTGTGTGTGTGTGTGTGTGTGTGTTGTGTGTGTGTGTGGTTTAGGCACATGTGTTTACAAATTTTTACCTGGTTCTTTCAAAGATGATTTTTTCTGTTTTATTTTTAATATCCTTGTGCAATCCTTATATATTTTACTTCTTGATTTATTGATCTTGATTTAATATATTCACATATAAAGAAAAAGCAGAATATATGTGTATTTATATATAAATATATGTTTCTGTTCAATTATCGTGTGCTGAAATTTAAATAATGTTGTGACCGCTAATGCATTTGTAAATGACATTTTAATATGAATAATTTATGTTGAGAAAAAAACAAAATGAACCAATAAATTAGGGGCTCAACTATCATATTTTTAAAACCGTGCTTTGTTTTAAAATATTTATTGCACTGTTTGAATGTGACTTCACAAAAACACTTGATTCACCAAGAGAAAAACAAAAACAAACAACAAACTTTGTAGAAACACACCTCCTGTAGATCATATTTAACACCTCATTGCTTGTATCCAGTTAATCAGTAAAGTCTGTCCATTTCACCTGCAAAATCTCTCTTAAATTTATTCACATCTCTCCATCTATATTGCCACCAACCAGGTTCAAGAAACCACCATTGTTTTTCTCCTGGGTGATTTCAGTAGCCTCTTTCAATATTCACTCTTGGCTTCCTCTAATCCATTTTCTACAGAGAAACCAGGGTAATCTTTAAAACCAAGCCAAATCGAACTAAGCTCACTATGTGACACTCCAGTCTAAAACAAGTTAATGGTGTCTCATTGCTCTAAGGCTAAATACCAAACTCCTTAAGGGGGCCCTGTAAATTTTAACCACTGATTCATTCTATCTCTGGCCATATAGCTTCTATTCTTCTATGTACTCTTTAAAAGACTCATTCTCCCTCCGACTTAGGCTATTCTCCAGACAGAATCACCTCTCCCTAGACTGTCTTATTGCTCTTCATCTAACCCACCCTCTTCAGTAAGTGTAGATCCTCATCTGTACATACTTAGTGCTTCCCCTCTTGTTTCTTCATAGCATGTACCACGACTGTCCTTCCACCAGGAATTTAAGCCATGTGAAAGCAATGTATTGCCTCTCCTGTTTATGGGCTTAATCCCCAGCAAAGTGTTTAAACATATAATAGGAATTCAGTATTGACTGAGAATAAAAAATAATTTAAAAAACTCAATGAACAAGGACTTAAAAAATTCATAATCTCTATTATGAAAACTCATGATAATATCTATAAACATCAAGCTGAAGTAAAATTGTTTGTTTCCCTGGATATGTACATATTCTTTCTTTCTTTTGTCTCTGTACCAACAGAACATTCTTGCCCAAGTGGCCTAGTGTTCAAGTACAATGTAAAAGCCTGTAATAGTTCTTGCCGATCCTTGTCAGAAAGAGATAGGAGCTGTGATGTAGAAGATGTTCCAGTTGATGGATGCACCTGCCCTGATGCAATGTACCAGAATAATGAAGGAAACTGTGTACTGAAATCTCAGTGTGACTGTTACATAAACGACGAGGTCATGCAACCAGGCAAACTCATCCATATTGATGACAATAAATGGTATGGAAATTATACGTATACTTGCTATGACACTGAAATCAAGAGACTGCGTTCTTTTCAGATAAATGATCTTTCGTCAGTATGAAGTCTTTTTAGACCTACCATACTTATGATTCTTATTTATTAACAAAAATCTATTTTATTCTGGAAGGCTCATTGCATCCTAATGGATATAGATGACTTATCCCACTCTGGTTTTGTTTTAACACCAGTAGAAAAATATTCTGGTAGCTTCTATATACCAGATGTGAAATGATTTCATATTCAGAAGATGCTCTCTAGCTGTCTCTCAGTAGTCATCATTCAACAAACACTCATTAAGTGTCTGCAGTGTGCCAGGCCTTGTGCTGAGTGCTGGAGTTGCAAAGCTGAACGAACATTGTCCTGGACTCCGAGCAAGCAGGGCACAAACCACTAGAAGGAGGTTTATATACTAGAACATGGTAGCAGAAGGGGCCAGGCACTACCTGAGGAGATTAAGGAAAACTTCTCAGAGAAGACAGGCATATGAATTGTGCTAGGGAATGGATCTTTTTCCAGACAAAATTGAAATGTAGAGGATGACTTCCTGTAGAGTAAAGAGAATGCACAGATGTAGGAAATGTTTGAAAAAATTTTACACATGCGGGTTGTTTTGTATAGGATTGGGCTAGAAACATTGACAGTGGTCAGATCATAACCAAGAATTTGGACTTAGTTTCTGAAGAATTTAAGAATTTTGACTATTTTGTAATGGCTGAGGAGGCTATGATTTCTACAGTTTGGAGCAAATTCATTTTTTTCTTTTTTTTATTTTTATTTTTTTTGAGATGGGGTCTCACTTCAATTGCCCAGGCTGGAGTTCAGTGGCACAGTTTTGGCTCACTGCAGCTCCAACCTCCCTGGGCTCAAGTGATTCTCCCACCGCAGCCTCCTGAGTAGCTGGGACTACAGGTGCATGCCACCATGCCCAGCTAATATTTTGTATTTTTAGTAGATACGGTATTTCACCATGTTGCCCAGGCTGGTCTTGAACTCCTGGACTTAAGCAATCCACCTGCCTTGGCTTCCCAAAGTGCTGAGATTACAGGCATGAGCCACTGTGCTCAGCCTGGAGCAAAGTAATTTAAGCATGTTTCTAATTCCATAGAGAGGTGTAGGAATTCTTGCCAAAATGAAGTAGCCACTCAAAAATATTTTGAATATGCTTCCTTTCTTTTCTTTGGTTTCATGAGGCTATCATTAACAGTAAGTAATTTTTCTTGGTCATTCAAAAGGAAAGCCTAGGTAACCCCTTTATATCAAAGCCCATGAGCCTTTTGCTGGGGTTTGATAATGATAATTTCTTTTTCTCTGTAGTTTTTGGGGAATCAATAGATTAACTTTTTAATGGTGCTTAATAAAGAATTACACTATTTTATCTGTATTGGATATTAGCAAATATGCAGTCTGCTCTTTTTTTCATGGGAATCAATAAATTAACTTTTCAATGAATCAGGCTAGGACCTCCAAATTACAGTTCCCTTCACCACTACCCTATTTGAGACTCTCCTCAGCTGGCACCACTGTGATAGCTAACTTGGTTGCTCATTATTGCTTTGTCTCTCTGTCTCATGTTTCCTGCAATGCTGCAAGAATGTGTAGCCTAAAACCACATGCATACCTATGTAACAAACCTGCACGTTCTGCACAAGTATCCCAGAACTTAAAGTATAATAATAATAATAATAATAATAATAATAATAATAATAATAATAAAGAATATGTAGCCTAAAGCACTATTCTGATAGGGCCACCTCCCTGCTCAGAAACTTTAGTGACTGACAGTTACCTGGAGAACAAATACAAATTTGCAAGTCATTTAAGGCCATCTAAAGTCTGGCCCCAACCTACATATACCACTTCCGCCCATTTTGCATCCTGCCTTCCATCCAAACATGACTCATTTGAGTCACTGGAACATATCTTATTCTCTCCTACACCACAGTTTGGCATCTTATCAGAAGTATTAAATTTCACTTATCATCAAGATCCAGCCATCCTTTCCACAAGGTTTTCTCTGATGTCCATAAAACCCTGTTTGTATATTCCTGTAATATTTACAAGGTGATATCTTATCCTTTGGTACATTTTATGCATCTTCTGGGGATGGTGTCTCACTCATTTAACTAATTGTCCTTGAAACTTATGTCTAAATTTATAAAATTGTTTTATTTCCAGCGTCTGTCGGGATGGAATTCTTCTTTGCCAGATTCCCATTGATTTAACCCTACGTAAGTGTTAAAATCACAGTGCAAGTTTAAAATATCCACTTTGGCTAAAGAAAACAGATCAATAGGCTCTTGATTAATGACAATTCTTATTCTGCAGAAAATTGTTCTGGAGGGGCTGAGTATGTAGACTGCAGTGATCCCAAGGCACAGAGAAGAACCAACAGAACATGCAGTACTCGGAACATACCTGTTTTTGATGTAAGTAACATAGTATTAGAGTTTAGCCATTGAAAAGTTTTGTTTCGAGTCCTAGGAAAGCTACAATTTTAATGAAAAATAATTAGAAGGTCATGCTCTTTTTGTGTGTTATTTTCAGTTGTCAAAGATTGACTCCAAATACATACTTGGCATATTTAAGCATTTAAATTAATGCTGATAATATGACATGATTAGAATGGTGCCTCATGGTGTATATTTTATATTTATTCTTGTAGGAGAACTTGCCTTGCAAACGTGGGTGCTTTTGTCCAGAAGGAATGGTTCGAAATTCTAAAGGGATATGTGTCTTTCCTAATGACTGTCCATGCTCTTTTGGTGGACGAGAATATGATGAAGGAAGTGTCACTTCTGTTGGCTGCAATGAATGGTGCTTAATAACGGATTCTTATTTTATTTCTTCTGGATATTAGAAAATATGCAGTCTGTTCTTATTTTCATAGGAAAGAAGAAGTCACACTTTGGGATATTTGAAAAAAATGACCAAATATAGTTAGAAAAAATGCTAGTTTTATTATTTATTTATTTATTTATTTATTTATTTATTTATCTATTTATTTTGAGACGGAGTCTTGCACTGTCACCCAGGCAGGAGTGCAGTGGTGCCTTCTTGGCTCACTGCAAGCTATGCCTCCCGGGTTCATGCCATTCTCCTGCTTCAGCCTCCCCAGTAGCTGGGACTACAGGCACTCACCACCATGCCTGGCTAATTTTTTGTATTTTTGGTAGAGACAGGGTTTCACCGTGTTAGCTAGGATGGTCTCGATCTCCTGACCTTGTGATCCTCCTGCCTCGGCCTCCCAAAGTGCTGGGATTACAGGCATGAGCCACCGTGCCCGGCCAAAATGCTATGCTTAAAACAGAACTTTATGTAGCATTGTATATATTGAACATCCTACTTTATAATGAAGACAACTCCAAAATTTAAATCAATATGAAACATTATTTTGTTCTTCTTTACAAAAGCAATATTAGTATATGAATCCTGACATAATATAATCACTACACTCTCTCATTTTTTCCTTTTAGTACCTGCATTAAAGGGTCTTGGAGTTGTACCCAAAATGAATGTCAAACCATCTGCCACATCTATGGGGAAGGTCATGTTAGAACTTTTGATGGGAAGAGTTACAGTTTTGACGGTCTCTGCCAGTATTCATTTCTTGAGGTAATTATGAGTATGTCTTATTAAAATGTTTCTGTACTTCTTAATTATTCATTTGTAGATTAGTTCCAAATAATTTTATTTTCAAAATGGGAAATATTTTTAAAAGGTCCCTTGTATGTTTCCAGAAGGCAGTAAAATGTTATATTGTGTACTGCTGGCTCTGGAGGCTAGGACTAGATTTCGATACTGGCTCCATATTTTATCAGATGCATGTCTTTGGGGACATTCCTTAACCTCTCAGTGTCTCAGCTTCTGTATTTACAAAATGGGCATGAAAGTAGCCCCTACTTGAAACCACACGAGAGCACACACTGGAGGACATACTAGTGCTCAATAAATAAATGCTAGATATGATTGTTCTAACAACAGCACTGGCAGCAAAAATTATGACTACCATTTATGAGTGCTTCTTTGCCAAGCAAATTTATATATTTCATTGCATTTAATAATTATAATATGATGAGACTGATATTATTATTCCTATGATGCAGATGAAGAAATTGAAGTTTAGAGAGCTTAAGCAACTTAAGCTACCAAATAGAAAATGTCATAGTAAACCTAGACCTGTCTGATTACAGAGTTCATGCTTACATACATTCCAGAGTTCATCTTGTTAAGCTGTAAGCTTCCTAACTAACATTTAAGGGGTAAAATTTAGATTGTATTGTATTTATTCATTAGTTTTGTTTGAATATCAAGTTTCATAAAAGTCTTTGAGGAAATAAGGCCAAATTTATCTAGCTATTTATAGAGTCTAGAAATAAATCTGTGACTACAAACATATATACTTTAAAGACTTACATATTTATAGAATAATTCTGAACTTGTGCAGAAGTAATGGGAAAATAACTGAGTCAAAACAAGTTAGCTAGAGTGGACTTAGTCAAGGCTAACTATCTGTAAATGTGTTAAACTATTGTTTTTTTGGAAATTCCGTAACACAGCATATGGCGATTTATTGAGTTTGAGGAAAATATTTTCTCTAAGAATATTTGTCTGACACAAATACTGTAGTTGAGTTCGTGTCTCTAATATTCACAAACTATTATAATTTTTATTTTAAAGGATTATTGTGGTCATGAAAATGGCACATTTCGTATTTTAACGGAGAGTGTTCCATGCTGTGAAGATGGGCTAACGTGCTCAAGAAAAATTATAGTTGCTTTTCAGGTACAGTACTATTTTCTTTATTTTTTCCTCTCACATTGTGAGAAGCCAAATAAAACTGTTATTGTAAATCTGTCTGAATTTACAGGATCAGAATATTGTCTTGCAAGACGGTAAAGTAACAGCAGTCAAATCTACAGAAAGTAAGAAATGTGAACTCAATGCAAATGCATACTCCATACATACTGTTGGCCTGTACTTAATTCTGAAATTTCAAAATGGAATAATCGTGATTTGGGACAAAAATACAAGACTGTCTGTTATTCTGGATCCAAACTGGAATGTATGTATATCGCTAACAAGTGAATAATGGGGAAGCAAAATCATTTCTGTTACTAAAATTAAAGACGGGTATTCATAGACAGAGTGTAGGAGAATGGCAGGGTCTCTGTTAGAGTAACAAGCCCTCCACCTTTCTTCAACCTTATTGTGAGATATGAAATGTAATCAAAGATAATAAAATCTGGTTAAAAAGTAAATGCAATAACCTGAGGCATTGTAGCTTAACCGTATTTGGTTACTTGAGATTATCACATGATGTGATTTTCAGGTAGTTGATATATTTTGAATTAAATGTGTTCCTTGGAGTAAATATTTTAAGAAACCAAAGTAGTCTCATGTGTAATTTGAAACTAGCAGACATACCTGTTTTGGTTCTTTAGACATTTTTTCTGCATGATACTAGATGATTTTGTGACATGGGGTATCTTAAATGGGAGAATAATCTTATCCACAAATTCTGGAATCTTATCCATGGAAACTGGAATTTTATATAGATTCATGCTCCAATATACATAATCATGATATCTATCTGTTCATCTATCATCTATCTGTTTGTCTACCTATCTCAATGTCCCTAGTACAACTAATTTTTAAATTTCCCTTTCTGATCAATACAGGGCAAAGTGTGTGGTCTTTGTGGAAATAACAATGGTGATCTCAAGGATGATTTCACAACAAGATACTCTTCAGTAGCTTCTGGAGCACTGGAATTTGGGAATAGTTGGAAAACAAGCCAAGAATGTTCAGATACAGTGGCTCAGACTTTCCCATGTGATTCAAACCCATACTGTAAAGCCTGGGCTGTGCGGAAATGTGAGATCCTCAGAGACAGCACCTTCAGAGACTGCCACAACAAGGTAGCATTGTTCTGAAAGCAGTGACTTACACAGGGTTTCCTCCCAGAGACTCATGTGCTGTGCTCTGCCTAGGTTGACCCCAGTGCTTACCATGATGTGTGCATTGAAGAAGCCTGTGCATGTGACATGGAGGGGAAGTACCTGGGATTCTGCACTGCCGTGGCTATGTACGCAGAGGCGTGTAGTGCAGTTGGAGTCTGTGTCTCATGGAGAAAACCAAATCTGTGTCGTAAGTGAAGTCCATATGTTGTTGTTCTTTCAAAACGTAATTAGATAGAAGTGTTTCGTTAGACCCTCAGTCTTCCTCTCATATTTTCTATAAAACACATGTTTGTATACCTACAAACATGTTAATATTTTTGTTTATGATGTGCAAAAATACCTAACTTAAAAAATAAAGCACGTGGCCCAGAGCTTCAAGTTTAATTTTAGTTTAAAAATTTGTATTTTCACAGGGGGAATAATGAATACTGATGGAGAATATTTCTCATTCATACTTAGATGATGAACTGTTTACCTATCTTGGTATATTTACATCTCTTTCAATATTTACCGAATATATTACTTTTGCTTAAAGTGCTCACACATGTTTCCTTGAAAACTTTCATAGAGTCCTATAGAAGATGAACTGAAAATTGAGTATAGACTGAATCTCGATACATATAGAATGTAATAACTTTAATAGAAATGAGTCAGCTCTTTTCCTTCTAAGTATTATGAGAGAAAATATAAGAAGGTTAAAATAGAACCCTCATTTTATTCAGTTTTTTATGCACAGGATTAGATTATATTGACATCTTTAGTTACTTCATTTAGGAACTGTTATTTACATATTAAAGAGCTTAATTGTCTAGGATTTAGTTTTCCAATTTAAAGCTGAAATTGAAACCATGAATCTAGACTATGACCTAAAATATCTCCAAATGATAAAATTAATGTTTACTTTTTTAATCTCAAACTAACCTGACTGTGAGATGGCAAAACAAAGTGCTATTTTGAGTTTATATGCCTTCCCCTCTTGTGATCTATTTTGACTTATATGACAGTTTAGATAAAGCCAAAGGAACTTGATAAGACCTGATATACTTTAGATATGTTTATTATTAATATCATCCCAAATCCCTTGTTAAAATGCTTTGGAAAATGAAAGGTGAAAATTGTCATATAATGAATGAAAGTAATTTAATATAATTCAATTACAGCTGTCTACTGTGATTACTACAATGCGCCTGGGGAATGCAGATGGCATTATGAACCTTGTGGCACAGTGACTGCAAAAACATGCAAAGATCAGCTCGTTGGCCAGAAATTTTCTTCACTTTTAGAAGGTAAGACATACTTTAAGAATATGCATAAAGTAGTGCAAATGATATTCATCTTAACTGGAAAGGATTGTTTCTCCTAATTTCGTGTCTAACATTTCGTAATTTAATGAATAGTTATCTTTATTATGACATTAATGTTTCTACATTAGAAACATTTTCTCTAAACATAAGCTTAGTGGGGGATGGGAGACAGCACTCTGATCCTATTGTCACTCTTTATATCTTTGATTAGACAATGTTGTTTAGTGTGAATGCAGTTTCAGAATGCAACATATAGTACAGTCTTGCTTGAGTAGTATAATTACCGTAATAATTAACTGTATCTCACACTTAAGCAGCATTTTATTCTTAGCATTATATATTTTAGAGAGAAACAAAGAACGGGCAAGAAAACAGGATAACATGAAACTTTTCCAAAAGTCACATCTGTGTTAAATCCTTTGGCATACTTTTAGCCTATTTTGCTATGACTTCTGTATCTTTACCTACTGTTGCAAAGACAGATATTTGAAACTGGCATTCACATTTCAAGATGTGTATTTACCAGAGCCTGTTTTATGTCACAGCATCACACCCATTATGAAAGTAGCAAATCATTTAAAATTACTTTAAGAATCATTTTAGAAAAAAATAAATCAACCAAAATCTGTAAGTTCTTAGTTTGACATTTCACTGCAAGAAGATCTGAACCTTCTTTTATTTATATATTTTCATTATGAGTGTGATGTTGTTTTGCTATTATCTACTTCACTTCATGGCATCATTTAAGTAATTTTACAAATATATAATATACAGTATAATGTGTTTCAGTAGATAGAGATGAATTGTGGGTATTTTTACACACAGGTTGTTATGCTAAGTGCCCAGATAGTGCTCCTTACTTGGATGAGAACACCATGAAATGTGTCAGTTTATCTGAGTGCAGCTGTTTCTATAATGATGTCATACCAGCAGGGGGAGTGATTGAAGATAATTGTGGAAGAACATGGTATATTCTCTACTAACTTTTCAATGAGCAATTTTGACTTTTGCCTTTTCATTTAGGAGAAAAACCAAATATATGTATGAATATATTATGTTAATAATATATATGTTATGTATACATGTATATATCTATAATTTTTGATCCTGCCATTTCTAAATGAGAAGGCCAGCTTTAGCTTCACTTTATATCAGTTATGTGAGTTATTTTTATTTTCAGACAATTCACATGTCAACAAATGGTTTGTGTAATCTTATACTTAATAATGCAGAACACAGGACGGAAAATGTCATTGTGTAGTTTTAGGGGAAAAGAGTTTTAATTCTATAAATGTAAGATTATGTTCACAGGCTTTCAAACAGTTACATGGAAGCAAATTGACAGGGTCATAGTAGGTCACCACGGCCATCAAATAACATCGTGTTTGAAATTGACTATGTAAGAACTACCTTTAAGGGTCACCTGCACACCATTTCTTCAGGTGCCCAGAGCTCCTCAGTGAAACGATTGGGTATAGCAGCACATGGAAAAACAAGCAATTTGAATCAATAGTATTCTTTTGGGGAAACAAATATTTACTTCTATTTGGTTTTGTTTGTTTTCAATCAGACAAGTCATTGTTTTAAATTTGTGAGCTGTATGCAAATAAGAGTCAAATTTTCCAATTCTTTCTTTTTTTCTTTTTTAAATTTAACTTTCAGCTACTGCATTGCAGGGCAGTTGGAGTGCAGTGGTAAGTCATTAAATTTTACACTAATTGATTTATGACAAATCAGAGGAGGGGCTGGGAATCTTTTTTAGACCAATCACCAGAAGGGCAGGGACTTAATGCATTAAGCTGTCCCTCCGAAGACTGGTACAATTCCATCCCAGAGCGATTATCCATGGTGAGTCGCTGTTGGAAACCAGTGCTGCCAAGATATGCTGAACAACTGTCAGATGGGGCCATGGCTGATACTCAGGGGGTGCACCTACTGCATACATGCCCCTGCCTAACTGTAGGTTCTGGGAATTGAGGGAGTGAGGCATCAGTGAAAACAGTTTAATGAAGGGAAGGAATAGAAGATGAGAATCAATATAGAATGAATTAAATAACTGAAGGATTGTTCGTGAGCAACACATATCTCTCACTGCAACCTCCACCTCCCTGGTTCAAGTGATTCTTCTGCCTCAGCCTCCTGGGTAGCTGGGATTACAGGCACCTGCCACCACACCTGGCTAATTTTTATATTTTTAGTAGAAATGGGGTTTCACCCTGTTGGCCAGGCTGGTCTCGAACTCCTAACCTCGGGTGATCCACCTGCCTTGGCCTCCCAAAGTGTTGGGATTATGGATGGGCATGAGCCACTGCACCTAGCCACAACACACATCTTAATAATAAATCTCAAAAACCTTCAAAAGAATACGTGAGCTACTCCTTTTTATATTAGGAATTGCAAGAAGTAAAATAAAAAGAGACATGACTTATAGACAAATTGAGTTGTAGAATTTTTTCAAGATATAAAAATTCCTGTCAATAACAGTAATGTATGATTATTTCAGAAACTGCTCCTACCAATTCAACATTTGCAGGTAAAATCATCATTATATTTTAAATGTTGTATTTCTGATTTCTTTGTGTAGCTAATCCTTTATGATTTCACTTCAATCTATGCCAGTAAAAGGTATGATGGTAAATCTGCTGATATAAAAATTTTAAATTAAACTGAACAGTTACTAGAAATATGTCAGAATATCATTTCATTATATTCCTATTAAGTTAGGAATATGATTAAACATACAATAGGTATTATTAGTTAATATTTATGTTATTAATTCATTAATATTTTAAATGCATGTTAGTTAAATATCATCATCCAAAGCTTGATATTTTTAGATAATAATTGAATAAGTGGATGAAGTAGAAGTAAATGTTGCCTTCTGTGAAGTAAATATTTTAAAACCATCATCATGCTGGAGGATGATTTGAAAACAGAAATAAAAAATTATTTCCTTCCTTCCTTCCTTCCTTCCTTCCATCCTTCCTTCCTTCCTTCCTTCCTTCCTTCCTTCTTCTTTCCTTCCTTCCTCCTTCTTTCCTTCCTTCCTTCTTTCCTTCCTTCCTTCCTTCTTTCCTTCCTTCCTTCTTTCCTCCCTCCCTCCTTCCTTCCTTGCCTGCTTTCTTGCTTCCTGTCTTGCTTTCTTTCTTGTTTTGAGGCAAGGTCTCACTTTGTTGCCCAGGCTGGAGTGCAATGGTGCGATCACAGTGCACTGCAGCCTCTATTGCCTAGGCTCATGTGCTCCTCCCATCTCAACCTACCGAGTAGCTTGAACCATAGGCATGTGCTGCCATACCTGGCTAATTTTTTATTTTTGTAGAGACATGGTCTTGTTCTGCTGCCCAGGCTAGAGTGCAGTGGCATGATCATAGCTCACTGCTTCCAAAGCATTGGAATTATAGGCTTGAACCATCACCCACCCAGAGCATTACAATTATGTTTACTCAGGAGGATGCTGGATGTTAGTTTTGGGACATTTAACTTCTTGGCAATATAAGTACACTTTGAGTTGCTGTAGTACACTTACATATTCCTGCCTTGTGTGTTATAAATTGGGATTTTATTTCCTGTTGATTGATACTTGGAGGTGGGTAGTATAAATTAAGAGATAGTACAGAAAATAGGAGACCTTAGGCTTTGACAATTTCTTTAAAATTATGCAGCCTGCTGTAAAATGCTAGTTAAATTTTAGTTATTTTTGGTCACTTATCTGAAGCGAAGTTATCACATGTCAGGGTTCTGAACCACATTCCTTTAAGTTATTATTGGCCCATAAAGAGACCTTATAAAGTTCCTATGGGATTTTGGTTAAGTGATAATAACAGGAAATAGTTATTTTTGGTGGACGTACATAAATATATGGTGTTATTTGTATTGATATAAATAAAAAATTATTTTGTCACTTAACATCTGTACACGTTTCAGAAATTTTAATTTTAGTTTACGACAACTGGTTTCTTGAACTATATTTCCAAGCAAAAATTATTCAATTAATTTATTTTCATAAATATTGTGTTTCCTAAACAGTTTCCACTACAACAGCTACCACCATATTAAGCACCGGAGCAGGTAAATAAGTTAAAAATTGCTAATTATTTTTATAGCTCCTAAGTGAGCAGCAAAGATAATTTATAGTTCAGGAATCATGGCTCTTTTTTCAAATTTTTCATTCTCCATTTATGTATTTGCTAAAGGCCCATGCCAAGTAGGAGGTCTGTATGTAATTGTAACATTAGTAAAGAACATCTTCCCTTTTCAAAGGTTGTCTGTCCTAAGAACATTCTACATACTACTGATGTGGAGGAAGTGGCTATGTCAGAAAATTCTATGTTAAATTCCTTGAAAGTAATTTACAATTTCTTTTATTAACATTAAGAAAATTTTAACTTTAATTGGATGCTTTATCATTAAAACAGTAGCTAGTGGAGTACAAAAGTATATTGAATTGTGTAAACATCTGATAAGTGAACTTAACTTACATTTAATCATTTATTTGCATTCTGGAGATCTCAAAACATGTTTAAATAGATATGGTTAACCTCATCTTTCAATACCAGTTTAATGTTCATTTCCAAATATTTGTCTTCTTCTTTGCATAGCAATTACACTGGTTACCGGTGGCCCAAGCACAGGTAAGCTGTCACCTCTAAGCCACAACTTAATCAATGGGGGATTTTTAAAAACACCCAAACCTTCTTTTGCAGTATTATATCTTTGCAATGACATTTTTAGAAGAAATAGACAAAGTTTCTTTTTTAAAAAAGAATTTTTTAGAGAAAGCTTTTGGGGAAAAAAAGCATTATACCAAATGATAAGGTGTTTTGACCTTTTACTCAAGGCCTATAAATTTTAAAACTAATATTTGGGCTTCTATTCACCTATATGATGATTTTTTTGTCTGATACAGTCATTTCAAGTTGATCCATTTTACATATGACCATAGATGTTCTTGGAAGTATAATTTTCCCTGCATATAAAACTTAGTTTTTCCATTGTTTTCTCAAATTCAGCAGCATCCATTCCAGCGATTACAACATCAAGCAGTGAAACAACAGGTAGGTAAATCAGAAAATCCATAAGTGACAAATAAAGTTTTGAATAAAGGTTTGTATCTGAAACCTTGAACAACTTAAATATTGGAATCAACATCAGTTTGATTACACATTAAAAATATTTGGGTTTGAATTTTCCCTCGGACCATCCAAACAGTTTCCCTAGTTTAGTTTGCTATTTTATCTTTCCACCTAAATTTAAAAATTCATTGAGTATGTTTCAGTGTCTTTAATGAAAATGAAAATATGAGAAAAAAAGAATTTGAAAACAATGGCTAACAGACAATTTAGCACTGTGACTCTACACGTTATTGTTGTTTTTAATATATAATAGTCACCTTCTTTTCTTTAAACTAATTAATTGTACAATTAAAAAGATGTCAGTTTTGCTCAATTGAAGATTCACATGCGTAATGTATGTCATTTCTTTCTAGAGCCTATGTGTTTGAGAAAATCATCCATAGATTTCTCCCTTCCAACTCTGCGCTATTTTTCACATACTCACTTTTCTATACTTACGGTCTTTACCCCCAACTTAGCACTATTTCTCTTCTTTGTTATTTATTAATTTATCCAGTCTTAAATGAATACATTCCTTCAAGTCACAGACCATGCTTCGCCATCCTTGTATTCCCAATTGTACCTAATGGCAAGGTACAGAATAGTTCGCATTCAGTATTTACGGAGTGAATAAACAACTCTTCTTTTTCCCCGTGGAAAATTTAGAACTCAGGTTTAGAATTTTAGCGCAGAATTTCTGGTGAAGGTTAAACTATTTATTAGATATTAGTTATACTGGTAAATCCGACAGTTCATACATTTCACTCATTAGAGCTAATCTTCTATACAAAGATAGAGTGTAAAACCAAGACTATTATTGGATTATAAATTGATATCATAATATAGAATTATGACTATAATTTAAAACGTTTTCTATATCTTAGTATTGTCTGAGTTATTTTTTAATCAATATATTTTTATATTAAAGGAGTAAATATATGTATATCTTAAAGCATCAGCCATCAGTGCACAATATTATTAAAAATACCGAAAACAGCATGCTACTTCCTGTCAAACTTTCTCTTATGTTGGATACCATTAGCAACACAAAGCATTACTAGCTCTTTCAATGTAAATCTCAGAAAGCCTGACACATTTCACAAATGTTCTTCTTCAGTCTGTAATCATAAATTCATTTCAGAAGACCAATAACAATTTCATCCCAATGGTTTTTTGAATTATTTCTTACACACTGCAGAGTAATTTTCTAGTTACATATTACCCTCAGTCACAAGCAGTGGACTACATCCCTAATTCTCAGCCTGGTTCTGTTTCAAAGATGATTAATTTGGTTCAGTTACTAAGTTCTCCTTTAGTCAAAGTCATTCATCAGCTATTAAAACTTTTGAATCTTGTGATCATTTAAAGAAATAATTTTTTCCTTGATTTGATGAACTGCATAGATATGCATGAATCATAAGCAGCTTAGATAACAATTTCATCTATTTCTTCAGTATCATGATGATGATATCTATATCCTATATCACAATACTTACCTAAAACTATTAAAAGTGGTTTGATTTTTCTAGCTTATATATATATATATATATATTTTCATTTCAAACACCTAGTTTTGAATGTAATATTCAGTTTTGTCAACCACTTTGTACTGTAGCAAGCAAACTGTCCATGGAAAACAGAAGAACATAAGTAGATTACCCTGACAGGGTTTTTGTGAGAAACTGATTAAGTTTTGGATGTAATATTTTGTCTCATTTACTGTAAAACACTATAAAAATCTTATCAGTCATCTTCATGGCAGCATTTTAAAAATTATAAATCAAATGCAGAGTTGAATTATAGGAAAGATTACCTGGGTGATTTTTTCCCTGAATTCATTTGGCATTATTTATGACTTTTGTGCTTTGCCTTACTGAATCCTAATGTTTTATTTTATTTCCCTGAAATTCTGGTAGATATTTCATGCTCTGTAAGCATAATATTAATAATTAACAAAATGCTATGTTAGTATTTTATTGAAAGATATCCTAAAATGACTTTTATTGAGGATTTACCTCATTCTAGTCATTATATTAAATATTTTTCATTCAGCATCTCATTAAATCTGAATCCTCTGATTGTTATTCTGCACAGTCCTCCTCACCTCATCATTTTATAGGTGAGGAAATGCAAAGAGCTTAAGTAACATTTTCAGGGTTATAAGGATCAGAAGGAAAAGGACTTTCTGGCATGATCTAGAGAGAAGTCAGGATTGGTTTTCTTTTCCTTGTTATCCTTGAAAGCCAGAAACCGTAGTCAACATCATTCTAAAATCAGGAGACAAAGAAGTATAAAAATGTTTATTTTTTCCCTCATATTAAAATTTTCCAATTGTGCCACAAAATGTATGTGTTTCAAATAAACTTAGTCAAGTAATCCCAAGGTACAGAAAACATTATCAAATTATCAAATTAATAATATATTCCCAGCATTTATTAATAATGTATGTGTAGCTTATCTTGTTGCTGGAACAGATTAGGAAGTGCTAATTTTCCAGATAAACTGAAGCATACAAAACTTTAATTAAATTTTAGTTAGATGTATCAAATTTCAATTAAAAATAATGATCAGTGGTAAGAATTAGAGGTAATTCTTAGTTCCTTATCTTTTCTGAGGCTATGACCATATCACACTATACAGATGGGCATTTAGAAATCATTCAAATAATGATTAACTTAGTTTTCCTTTAAATCTGTGACTTGAGGGCTTGGAGCATACCAGTTGGCCATCTTTGTTGATTCAATTAACTGGAAATCATAAATAGTCTACTTCAACTTGTGCTAGGGACTTGGACTGAGTACAAACTATTCAAAATAAAACGTGATATTTCTGAATTTTAACAACTAAGAGATGACATGCCGATTTTCTTATGACCGAGGAATCATGATCATTTATATAAAGTGAGGATGGTAATCAGAAGAAACCCAGAAAGTGCTAGATAGGTGTTTACTGATATTTTTATTTTGGAGCTCCAAAGGAAAAAAAGTCACATCTATTATTTTTCATTTTTCATGTAAGAATAAAACATTTTCCTTTAAGAGATACCAACTTATTTTTTCTTTTTACACTCTTTTTCTTTCTAAATTCATCCAATAAACATTATGCCATTGTGAAAACAAAACAGTTTAAGTTGTTTACTTATGGAATTCTTTTTAAAAGAAATAAAGGTCTTTTGTAGGCAATTGTTTTGCACAAATTGTAGGCTTGAAAGATGCATCCTATTTCTTTTACTGACAATGGTGGCGTAAAAGTGGAATTGACAAATTGTGATGAATCCATAACTACAAAATGATTTTTGTTTTTAAGTCTTCTAGTGGTAAGCCTCACTTGATCAGTGATGAGAACAATGAATCCCACATTTGTTTTATTTTAAAATAAATGTTTGGATATCATCACTAGCAAAGGGTTTTTTTTTGTTTGTTTCTTTCAAAATATAGTATGCATAAACCAAAGATATTTAAATAGAGATTGAAAAGTAAAAGGTTATATTCAGGTATAATATAACTAAGAAGACACTTCATTTCAAATATGTATTGCCTTTCCATGAGCTATCTATAATAAATGAAAAGATTTGTTTCTTGGACATGGGAACCCATTTCATTTTGGATAATATATTAGTGCTTTTGAGCAGAACCAATATGATAAGTGGGATAAATTAACTTAGTTAAAACTTTCCTACTTTTACTTTTTGCTTTGTCTTAAAATAAATCAATTAAACATAAAAACCTATAATTATTGAACACAAAGGTAAGATTTATTTTAAAAAGAGTCTCAGTGGGGCAGTGGGCTAGGGAGTGCAGGTTTTTGCCACTAACTTGTTCTCTGGATAAGTACTGAATAGAAGACAAGGTATGACTTCATTGTTGAATAGATCTTAAGTTTTTTGTTGGGGTAAATAGCATAGAAGTAAAGGGTAACTTTTGAGGAGTTTAGAAAAACATCACAGAAAACTCTAAAGTGAAAGGGAAGCAATATGCAAACTTTAATTTCTCCACATGCTTTCTGTATCAATTTTCTTTTCCATACAGTGAATGCTTTCAAAGGGCTAAAATACCCTGAGAGATGCCTAACCATTCTAATAAACATGCTATTTTTAGAAGAAAAATTATGCAGTTATGGGGCTTTTCCTCTTTAGATTGACTGATCTTGATACAGAGCTAATATTTACTGAGCGCTACTTTGCGTATATGGCATATACTATCTGATTTGATACAGAAAATTCCCTGAAGTGATGCCATCATTTCCCCCTATTTACAAATGAATAAATGGAAACACAAAGAGGTTAAGTTATACATTCAAGGTTACTTGCTAATAAGTTGCAGAGATAATTAAAATTCAGAACATATTTCCTAGACTCCAGTCCTAATGCCCCTGTGTTTCCATGTTTAAAGAAGAGGATGAAGTTGAATTTAATTTAAATCAGTTATTGAAGTAGCAACATGTAATTACAGATTCTGATTTCAAATTGGGACTTACGTTAAAATCATAGGTTGTTTAGTAGGTTTATATTAAAACAAAAAATCCCCCTTTTGAATGAGTATGTATGATACTGACATATAATTTAAAAGTGGGTTTCTGTTACACAACAATATAATCTGTTAAAATGCATATTTGCTCAAAAATTTAAAATCTTAGAATGTTACCACTGTTAAGTTATATATAAATTTTGTTTATACAATGTGCTTATTATAAAATAGCATCAATCATAAAAAAACAGAATCGCATCAGGCAAAGGGAGGTAGATGAGTATAGTGGAATGTGGAATTCGAGAAATAAGAATTTGAATCCCTCCCCTTAAAGTTTGACCCTGTTTTAAGTCCCTCAAGCAGCCTGAGGTTTAAGTGTTCTCATCTGTGAAGTGGGAACTAATAATAATCTCTACATGGAAAGATTTGAGAAAACAGTAAATGTAATAGTGCAGCTTAGTGTAATACATAGTAAGTATTCAGTAAAGGCAACTTTATTATTGGTGAATTTTATAAGGAATAATTAACTAGGTGAATGAGTTTAATACTTTTTCAGTTACTAATCAGAAACATACTGCTTCCTGAATTAAAGCCAATTTTATGAATTTTTAAATTTTTTCAGAATAAGATATTTTGCAAAAGCTATAGCTCTGCAGTACTGAATTTGTTGTTTATAAGGCGAAATGTTATGGATACTCCTGAAGCTTATCTTTCAGACATGTATTTTAAGTAAAATAAAATTCATTGAAAAAAATGCCAAAATATTTTTTCCTTGTAAAAATTAAAACGATTCTTAGAAGTAATTTAAAAACTTAGTGGTAGCTAGAAAATTAATTAAAAGACTTTATATTAAGTTTATAACGAGGTGAAACACAAGTGGAGAAAGCCACTTGGAAAAGTTTTTAGGGTGGAGTATCATACTACCATGTAGGCATGCAGAGCTTTTAGTGTTTCAGTAAAGGCAGCTCCTCCTATTACTATTTACGTCTTGTCCACAAAGAAGCTGATGCATATAATTGACAGTATCAAGTACTTCCAGCATGTATGTTCATTTGCAAGTAATGGAAAAATCAGTTGAAACTGTAATGGTTATGGATGTAAAAATTAATGAGAACGGGAATGCTGTCTCTATCAGTTTTGGTAATTAAACCCAGAAGAAAAGTGAGTTCTCATGTATTCCTGTCAGCAAAGGCTTATGCCTACTTTTATTGCTGTATCAATAATTTCAGATTACATCTTCTGAAATTCATTCATGGGAAAAAGGAGCTATATCATAGTAGCCTGACTGGTATGCACTCCAGTCTGTGCCTAGTTTAGATAATTCTACGACCCTGATTAAAGATCGGTCCTCGAAATGCACGTGAGCATGTTGCCATCTCAGCAACATCAATTATAAGGAAAGGCCTATAAATATGTTCTTCTGTGCATATGGTAAAAATAGTGATGATCAGCGCACTACCACCTACGATGTGCAACTGTGTTCTTGAATCCATGTTGATTAGAGCATATTTATTTAGATGTGTAAATATTGGAGATTTGATTTTATTCCACATGATAATGCTGCTTTTAATTAAATGTAATCGTCTTCAATTTGAAAGTGCTCAAACTGGATCACTGGAATTCCATAAAGTTTAAATCAATACTGGGAAATGGAATCTGCACCAAAATCTTTGGGAATATCAGGGTCTATCTATTCTTCCACATCATTCTAATCTTGATAGTCTCTGTGGATCATGGCATAACAATCTTTCCATGCTATTCTTACAATTAGATCAGCAAGATACTTTGATTCAAATGTCCAACTATTGTGCTCATTAGTGAGAAAAGATATTAAGATCTGATTTGGTCAGTTGGTGGAGTCTGTGTGATACTGATTTTGAAAATTCTTAACTAAACCTTGTCAGCTCTTGAGAACTGTCACAAAAACTTTTTCTTAAACTACTTACCATACTTATTTAAATATACATTCTGTAAAGAAATTTGGGGAGACAGGATATTTTATTGTTTACTTGATATTGTGTTCTACAATTTCTAGTCTAATTTTTAATATTTCCATTAACAAGATGAAGGGGTAATTAAGAAAACTTGAAAAGTGCAAGAGGTGATGTGTTATACACACAGGCAGAATAACATAAAAAGCAGTATAGGTCACAGTCCTGATTACTGGGTGACTTACATTTGAGTCCTAGTTTTGTCACTAACCAGCAGTGTGATCTTGAACAAATCACTCAACTTTTCTGAGCCCCATTCTCTATAAGAAAAATGGGTAAAATATTTTTACTCCATTCATTCATTCAGTCTATGAACAAATACTTATCAAGCTCTTATTATGTGCTAGGCACTCTTATAGGCCTTGGAGATACTAAAGTGAATAAAATTGATGTGGTTTCTGCCTTTATAAAGCCTACAGACTAGTCAGGAATATGGATATCAATTAAGTAATTACAAAAACAAATGGAAACTTACATCAACACAAGAGCTATGGAGTACCTAAAAGGGCATGGGATGAGAGGGAAGGGATTTAATCCTGTCAAGGAGCTCAGGAAAGACTGAAGAAAAGATGATTGAGTTGAGAACTGACCAATGAAAGCTCAACTAGGAGAAGAGGAGGAAAGAACCATGTTCCAAGTACAGAGAACTGCAAACAGCAGGTAGAAAAGATAGAAAGACCAGTGTGGCTGGATGAGGAGTGAGGATCAAATAGATTGTGTGAGAAGTTTGTTTCTCTCCTTCTTTTTTTGAAGTTCCAAAACACTATAAAATTGCAAAATGGTATTGTTTACATAAAGTAAGCAATGGATTTCCATGGATTTTTCAATGAAAATTAACACTGAAATAGAGAAAATACCTGACTATTTATTATTTATGAAAACCTCAAATTAATAAAGGCTTATTTTTAAGTGCATAGGCCCTCAATAAACATTTGATGAGTTTTATCACATCCCTGGCAATGGGCAGGCATTGGGAATACAAAGGTAAAACATGGCCTCTTCCTTCAGGAGTTCACTGATAATCCACAACAGCTGTTTAGGGTAAATTCAAATTTATTTTTATAAACCTGCTATATCAAATCATAAATATAAATTTTAAAAAATATTTCTCCTTTTCCCTCCAAGTCCTTATAGACTAAGTGTTACTCAATATAAAAATATCCAAGCTGCAGACAACCAGAAGCTAAGAAATGTTGAAAAAACCATAAACTGCAAAAATCAGCCTCTGCTTAACAGAGAATTTATTGCCATTGTTGATATACATTCCATTTACTTTGTATTTAGTAGAATTCAGCATATGTGTATGTGTGTGTATATATACATTGGAAAGTACATCATGTATGTCACTATTTTAAAAATGAAATATAAATTTATTATTAACTCTAAACACTAAATATATTACAAATTACTCTATATTGAAAACTACACGACAGCAGAACAATCTCTCTAGTATTTTTTCCTTGAGGTTGGAAAAATTCACATTTCTGTTTTCCTTTTTAGGAACAACTCTAGGTCCTCTCACCGAACCTTTTACTACAGGTCAGTATATTAATTCCTGGTTTTACATGTTAAATAAAAATATCCAACTCTATAAATTATTAGTCACTTTGGGTTTTAAGAAAGAATTTATAGGACAGTTTGGCTTTAGAAAAAATATTTCAAACAAGTAGTTTACTAGGTTTTTACCACTGGTTTTAAATTTTTCTTAAAAACCTTGAATTTTACTTGTTTTCGATCAGTTTATATTGACTGGCTATAGAAACATGGTTTCTAGTTTGATTTTCTTCTTTATCATTAACTATTAACATAGCATCTGCAACAGTAGTAAATATCTTTAATTTTTTTTTAAAGAATATGGGTTGCACATCTAATAACATATGTTACTCTCTTAGCTTTCTAAGCCTAAAAGTAGCAATTAACTATTTCATGATAGTGTTTCTTTATTGTTATTATCAGTGCCAGGCAACAGTGATTAGGGCATAAAGATCTGCTTATTTTATTTTATTTTTAAATTTTAAAAATTATTTTCAAAAATGTGGATACATAGTAGATATATACATATATAGCATACATGAGATATTTTGATACAGGCATGTCATGTGAAATAAGCACATCATGGAGAATGGGGTATCCATCCCCTCAAGCATTTACCCTTTGTGTTCTAAATAATCCAATTATGTTCCTTATTTTAAAATATATAATTATTATTGGCTATAGTCACCCTATTGTGCTATCAAATAGTAGGTCTTATTCATTCTTTTAATTTTTTTGTACCCATTAACCATCCCCACCTCTCCCTCACCCCTCACTACACTTCCTAGCTCTAGTAACCATCCTTCTACATTCTGTGGTCATGAGTTCAATGGATTTGATTTTTCTAGATCCCACAAAGTAAGAACATGTGATGTTTGTCTTTCTGTGCCTGGTTTATTTCACTTAACATAATGATCTCTCATTCCATCCATGTTGTTGCAAATGACTGAATCCCATTCTTTTTTATGGCTGAATAGTACTCCATTTCGTATATTGTTTATCCAGTCATCTGTTGCTGGACACTTAGGTTGCTTCTAGATCTTAACTATTGTAAACAGTGCTGTCACAAATATAAGAGTGCAGATATGTCTTTGGTACACTGATTTTCTTTCTTTTGGCTATATGCTCAGCAGTGGGATTGCTGGATCATATGGTAGCTCAATATTTAGTTTTTGGAGGAACCTCCAAACTGTTCTCCACAGTGGCTGTAGGTTCTGCTTATTTTAAAACAGTTATTTAGAAAAATATATGAAGACCTAGTGTGACTCAGTTCAAGATGCAGAAAGCTATATTTGTAAAAAAGAAAAAAAGGCAATGATATTAAAAGAAATTCTTAGGGAACTCAAGGCAGAAAGTCACTGGCTTTACTGATTCTATTTTCTATAGTAAAATTGATTAAACAGTTAACTCACTCCATGGCAATAAAGTCCTAATAGACTTCAGATGAGAAGTTAATTTTATGTTTTCTCAGGCATTACTGAAACTTCAGTTCCCATCATCTCAACATCTGGAAATGCAGGCATGACAGGAGTAGTGAGCCCCACCGTCACTGGTGCTTCAGGCATGGCAGGTAAATTAAATTCAGAACAAAGTATACCAGCCTCAGCTAAGCAACTCATTTTAGGAGATGCTACTCAGGACAATATTTTGCAAAATAAAAGTATTAGAGTTAGGTGATTATTCCTCATATGTAATTGAAATGTCATATCTTTAGTCTTTTCACAAGTTGCTTCCTTAAAGTATATCATGTTACAATTATATGTGATCATGACCTCGATAGTTGTTGGCACCTATGCATTTTTTTTTTTTTTTTAGCCAGATGTTTGTTTTTTCTTTACATTTATCAGGGACAACTGGAGTGTTACCAGGTATAACCACAGGAGCTGAACATGGAAATTTAAGTGACTTCAGAACAGATGAGACAAATAAATGAGTCAAATACTATCTCTTCCATAGCCGATTTCTACTAGGAATCCTCTGTTTCAACTTGGCAACAACTTTACCCTGAGTACAACATTATATAACAGGGCCAAATGTCAGAGCTATTGAAGTCAGCTAAATGACCATGGAGAAAAATTCAATGATTAATATTTAATAAAATACTAATGATATGTTTCTGTGGCACAGGAAGATTTCTGAATTGTCTTCAAATATGTAGTATGTAATTTAATCAACAATTACACCACGGTAGTTATCTGTTGTTATTCGCAGTAGGTGAGAAAATAATAAAAGGTCTCCAAGCTGGAAGAGGCAGGTTTAGAACACAGAATCCTGTCTGGTGTGGAATAGCTAGCTCCACAGCTCTGTGTGTGTATAAAAACCTAGATCCAACAAAAGCCAATGAGGATATGCTTGCCGTACACATCATTGACTGAATTTTAACTACTGTTGGTTTCATGAATAAAATATTATTGGTTTCCTTAAGCAGAGGTAATTTGGATAGAAAACAAAAAAGCCACAATTCACCCCTGTCCACCATGCAATCAGCTACTAATTTTAAGTATCTCTTAAGTTTCTTCTCTGCATCAATTTGCCTCTGCTTTTGTTCAGATGTTAAACATTTTCAACCTAGCCTCCACCTTGCTCACCTTCCTCCAAACACAATGGTGTTTAAAGTGTGGTTTCTGGACCAGCAGCATCAGCATCTTCTGGGAATTCGTTAGAAATGAAAATATCTGGGCCCACCTGCCTAAAATCAGAAGCTATTGGAGTGGAGCCCAGCAAACACTTTACTAACAAGTCCATGCAACAGATGCTCATCAAAGTGGAAAACTACTGCTCTAACATTTCCACTCCTTTCTCGCTTCCCTCCCAATCTATGCTGCCGTCAATACCATGGCAGAATGGACTTCCAAAATCTCAACTATCATCATGTCACTCCACTACTTACAATTCTTCAATTGTTCTGATTGCTTTTAATATAAATCAAAACTTCTTTACATACATACGTGGGTTAAAAGCCATTTCTTTAGTGTATACATGGAACTATTTCTCTTTATGCATTTGCTAACAAATCCATGGCCTAATTTTATTTTTTCTACATTTACTTTCCCTTAGCAATTTTCTTGATTTAAACGTTATAACTTAAACACTTTTTGGAATAAGATATAATTTACGTAACAATTAATGGTTTAAAGGATATAATCAATGTACACTAGCACAAATTAAGAAACTGGTTCATTCCAATTAGGTCAGTAAACTTAAATTTTAGAGTAATGACCATTTGTTTACATTTCTTAAAACCTGCATCAAAATTACTTGGATAATAATGATAAGTCAATCAGCTATCTCTTTTGGTTATGAGGCAGTATGTATAAGGATTTTGAGCAGGGCTACTCAAAGTTTGGTCGACAGATGAATACAAGCCAGATTGTTACCAGTTTTTGATGTAATAAGAAATGAAACAGAGACTAAGCATTTAAAAACATAGCAATTTTACAGGATGATTTTTGTCTATTAAATAAAGACTTGTGTTTCATATGGTTTTACTTTTAAAAATTTCATTTCTCTATTTTATGGCCTTTTTCAAAGTATCCATCTAGCACACACTGGAAATTTTACAAAATTGATCTTTTGCTACAGATTGTTTGAGAAGCACAGGTAGAAGTATTAACTGTAGGTAGACTGCTTGAATTTGGCTCCTGGATCTGCTGTCAACCAACTTGGTGACCTGAAGCAAATCATTTAATCACATCTAATAAATAAGAATAATATTATGACTTGTTTCAGAGGAATTTTATAAGAGTAAATGAGTTGGTTTATGTGTAGGACATTTTTTTTTTTTTTTTTTTGAGATGGAGTTTCATTCTCGTTGCCCAGGCTGGAGTGTAGTGGTGTGATCTTTGCTTACTGCAACCTCCGCCTCCCGGGTTCAAGCGATTTTCCTGCTTCAGCCTCCTGAGTACAGGCACCCGCCACCAGGCCCGGTTAATTTTTGTATTTTTAGTAGAGACAGGGTTTCGCCATGTTCGCCAGGCTGGTCTTGAACTCCTGACCTCAGGTGAGCCACCTGCCTCTGCCTCCAAAAGTGCTGGGATTACAGGTGTGAGCCACTGCGCCCAGCCAGGGAATTTTTAAAAATATATATATTTTTAAAATCAAAAGTAACCAGAGGCCCTCCTGCCCTAACAAGGAGAGGAGAGGAGGGCAACACACCCAGGGGACCAAGCAAAGGAGCTACAACCCCAGGACAATCACGCAAGTCAGGACACGTGTTTTAGATCTTGTTAAATGGGTGTAGTCAAAACATGCTTTAGCACCTGATAAATGGGCATAAGCAAAACATGTAAGCTGCTCAAGAAACTTGAAATTTGACTTGAATCTCCCAGTCTTTTCCTTCAGAAGTACCATATGTTGAAATTACTGCTACTGTGTTTGTCAGGTACAACTGGAAGATCCATGGGCACTACCACAGGAGCAGGCAGGGGAAGCACACCTGGAGTGTCAGGCACTGGGGCCACCAGCCCTGGGAACCCAGCAGGCAAGACAGAGACCCTTTTGGGGGCTGTGATTGGGGTCTAACACAAGCTTTCCCAAGACCCCAGAATACGATAACGAGATTAAGTAAAGAAAACCAAGGACGATATTTTAGGAAAACGACATGAAACTGAATATCCTGAAAGAATTTTTTTTGCTAACTATCCATATATATTAAGCACCATTATTCTTCCAAGTAGGAACAACTGGAGGAGTGGATGCAGCCACCACTGGAGCTGCTAGTGAAAATACATCTGAGAGAGCAGGTACTGGAAGAGCAAAATCATCATGATGCTGTCCTATGGACACGTGACCTTTCTGCTCAAAAGTTAGTCAGAAACAAGGTTTCTTGGGGAATCCAAACATTATGTAAGGCTGTGTGTCCAGAAGATCAGAACTATACCAACAAGTATATGCTGTATATCTAATACTGTGATAGATTCTCTGCGGGATACAAGAAAAGAATAGGGACATACATTTGTTCTCACTCTACTTTACTATAGAGAGGAAGGAATAAATATTCCTACAGATGTAGATGATAAAGACTAAGAAAGGCAGGAGTTAATCAAACAAATAAAAGATGCATGCTGGAGCATAAGGCAATTCTAGTAAGAAGAGACAAGATAATTCAATGCTGAACTACTCAATGTTGAACAATGAATTATCTGCATGATTACTATATTTTACAAAGAAAGACTCCTTTATTATAATCAGTACAATATCAGAGTTTCCTGATTTATCTGATTTACCTTGAACAAGAACTTAGGATATTTATGAGATAGATTCATTTTTTAAAGGAAAAAAATGTATATTTTAGGTCACTTTTATAAGGATTTAACTTTCTTAGCAGACATTGTTTTTTTCCATGATAAAAAATTAGGCACACCGAGGGTATCTGGAGAAACCCCTGCAGTCGGAGGTGGCAGTACCCCTGGAGAAGCAGGCCCTGGAGCCACAGTTTCTGGTAAGATCAACCAGGCTGGACATAATGTCTCAGAAGCTCCCAACCATACCTCCCACACTAAGTGATGCTGTGTAAATTCAGGCTAGAACTAGTATTAGAATGCAGGGCTGAGGAAAGTTGGAGGGATAGTTTCTTTCACTTCCTTTTTCTGGAAACTTCCAAGTAGTCATAGTAACAGAAGTAATAACATGCATACCTGCTCCTGTCTTGGTTTCAGGAAGTACAGGAGTTTCTGCAGGCTCCATCACTGCCAGCCCTGGAGCCTCAGCCACAAGCTCTGAAAGCAGCAAATCAGGTAAGTAAAAGGGAAAAGTCAGTGAGTGTGCAGGAGTAAAATGGAGCATGTGGATCTGCCCACATTTTCTTTATTTAGCAGCACTGTAAAGAATGAGAAGAACTGGAGTTAGGAAGCCCAGTTACTGACCACAGGTATTGCAGGTAGTAATCGGCCATGCAGATTCAGACAGAGGTTCCTGTGCTGGAACTTCTGAGTCTGTGAGTCTGGAGTGGGGCTAGGGTCATAGTTTGCAATCCTAACTACAAATTAGAATCAACTAGAGAAATGTTTGAAAATACATATTGAAGAATCCTTCACAGACTAATTGAATCTGTCCCTGGAAGAAGGGACCAGGCATTAAATATTTTTTAAAAGCCTCATGGGTCCCACATGCAACCTGGGTTGAGAACCGCTAGGTTCAAATATCTGAATATTGAACAAGTAAATAATAAACAAGCTTATTTACAAGGAATAAGTAAATAAGCACTCTGAGGGATGCCAACAATCATATACGATTCTTATGATCAATTTTTGGAAAGAATGAGCCATTTCTGGAAATGAAGAAGTGTAAACAAAAGGTATTTTGAAAGCAGAGAGTAGCACCCTATGTTCTGCTAAATCAAAGATCATGATACATATTTATTGTCTATTTTGAAAGGAACTACTGGACCCTCAGTGGGTGGAAAAACTGGAGCCACAAGCAGTGAAGCGACATCATCTGAAGGCATGTCAGGTGAGTAGAGGATGTCATTCCGAGGCTGTGGCTTTTGGTGAAAAGGACAATATTTCATCAGACCTCTGCAAATTTCACTAAGTATAAATGCCATCCAACAAAAGATAGAATGGTATATAACTTATTAACATTTTTCAAGAAAAGTTTTAATTTATGCTTTCTCTAAATATTTCCTTCAAAACTACTATGGCACTGGGTTGTCACAATAATGTATATGCACTCCCAATACTGTGTTTGTCAGGTGTAACAGGACAGTCTCTTGGATCTACTGCTGGATCTGACAGTGAAATCACAGCTAAAACATCTTTCACTGGTTCCAGTCCACCTGGGAAACTCACCAGGCCAAGCCCGGGCTCACCTGGTCACTTTAGTGGTGGTGAGTCAGAAACCTAGTTGGAACTTCAGATTCTTATAAGTTTAAGTGAATTTAGAAGGGATGTAATTTTACAACAAATGATCATGGATAGTTTAAGTAGACCACCTACCTCTTTAAAGAAACCCTGAAATTTGTTCAAAGAGTTACTTCATTGTAACCTTTTATGTAGACTAGGCTTGCCAGAGAAAATATAGGAAACCAGTTAATTTGAATTTCACACAAATCAGGAACAGTTCTTTTAGAATGAGTATGTCCCATGCAATAATCAAAACACAGTGTTTATTGTTTGTCTTGGATTCATATTTAACTGGGTGCCCTGTATTTTTATTTCATGATTTTGAAAACTCTGATGCAGACTGAGCACTGTTGCTCTTTTCAATTAGGAACAACTGAATGGGGAAATGTAGCCACCACTGGAGCTGCTGGTGAAAACACTTCTGGAGCATTGGGTATGGAAAGAGCATAATCAGAATAAATCTAGACAGTAGAAGTGTAATTTTTTTTAAATTACAAAATTAAAATTTTGTCGGAGACAAGTTTTCCTGGGGAATTTAATTATTATTATTTGTGTAATGTCAAAACTGCAGAAGATCAGAAATAAATCAAGAAATATTTGTTGTGTGTTCAGTATTATCCTGGGGGATACAGACAACATAAAAGAGGAGTTGAGTAAGGTATTTGTTCTCATAGAACTTCATTTCTGAGCAAAAGAAATTAATATTTATAATACACACAAAAGCAAAACCATGCAAGGCAAAAGATAATCAAAGTGGAGGAATTGTTCAATGACACGCATTGGAGTAAGACTTGAGAGGCAATTCTAGTAAAGTGACTGATTAATTTGATTAAAACAACAGAATTATTCTATTTTGAAAAGAATGTATTATAATCAGTGCACTACAAGCTGTGTCTGTATGCCTCAACTTGAACAAAAACTCAAAATACAAGGAAGCTGAGTGAAATTTTAAGAATCTATCCAACTGCAAGGGAATAAAAAGTAGTTATTCAGGTTTTGGGGAAGGAGGATTAAAAACAAAATGTTCTTCGAATCCAGAACCCCCTGCACAAAGGTAGTACAGAATAAAATATAGGTTTATTATTGAATAAGCATTAAAACAGAATATGATGCACATCAGAGGCAGTCTGTTAAGAGACTGCAAAGTCAGAGAGATATTTCACTCTTTTATATTATATAGCCAAGCAGGTATGACCTACTACACACATGTTCTCAATATAAATGATTATAGTCTTCAAGTAGAAGGACTTGAAAGCACCATTTATTACACATAGTTCACCCTAAATTCGTCTCTGGAAATGAAGCAAGTGAGTAAGCTGAATCTGTGAAGAACCTTCCTTAACCTAATTTCTTACATATTATATCTCTGTTGTAAATATCTGATGACCTGGTTAAATATTCAAACACACTAAAAATCCTTTTATCACAAGCAGAATGTAATTTAATTAGTCATAGTATCAACCTGATCCTTAATTTGCACTGACACTAGTAGAATCGAATAGGATTTAAGCTCAAGAAACCAATGGAAAAATTAAAAAAAAAAAAACCAGGAAAATAGTGGCTGCATAAATTAGAGTCTATAGATACCTCTTTCTTCAAATCATAAAGATCAAAACAGAGCCCACACCTACGGTGTGTAGAGGAGACAGAGAAGAGCCAGACTCCAAAAACTGGGAACGATGGCTCTGAGGCTCACCATAGGGCTGAAATATAGGTAAGGGCATCACAGAAAATAGAGAAGTATAGAGAGGTCCTAATAGTGGTAGAATACCATGATTCTAGTGGTTCAATCAACTAGAGTTGAGCCTCAAAAGGAAAGCCCCACAACTTGAGTGGAAAATGCTGAGAGAAAATCTGGGACCTGGCAGGTCAGAGAGCCCTCATGAATGGAGTTGGAAGAGTACTGGAGAATGCATGGAAGTCTTTGGACAGGGGAGCAACCCTTGGAGCCTGGGTGCCAAAGGAAAAAAATAGGTATGGAAAAATAAGGGTCTCAATAAAACAAGATAGTGATGAAAGCATCAGAAGACAGACAAGGAAAACGTGCCACTTATAAACGAAGCTCCCTCACTGTAAGAACGTAAGAGGGGAGCCCTTTATCTGAGAAATCTGGGAAGTATACTGAAGCCTCCCTGCTGCCCCCTGCGTAGAATCTCCCGCTATTACTGGCCCACAAAACAATAATAATAATAATAATAATAATAATAATAAAGAAATTCCAGTATCGATACACAGCTATTCCTTTATATACATTTTCAAAAACTTTGCATCAATAGCAAGCAAATTCTAAAGATCTAGTCATGAAGCAAAAGAATACAAAAACATAACATTAACGTAAAATAACTAAGGAAACAACCGCAGCTACAAAGATACATCAAAATTACAGATTAAAAATTAAGACTGGAAATAGATAAACAGCAGGAATGTTAAATTGGAATTGGTGAAAACCCAGGAGAAAATTGAAGAAAAAGAAAAATTATCTCAAAAGACCAAATAGCAAGGTGTTCCATTGAGAATAAATAAAACTGAAAATACAGCAAGGATATTAGAGGATAGAGCTGAGAAGAGGTAAACCCTACCCCTGAAATATTGCAGACACTTTCAGAAAAGGTATAATGGGCTAGAGAATGATATAGTTTTAGGAAACAAACAAAAGTATCCAAGATATATTATTGCCTTATCTGGAGAAGAAAAAGCAATGAAACAGAACTAATATTTAAAATTATAAATAAGGAAAAACATTCTGAATTTAGAAAAAAACCCCTAAATCTATGTAGTGAAATAACCTATCATATACCTGGAAGAATTAATCCTGAAGAGTCAATTATGCAAAGTATTCTGAAAAACAATTGGACTTGCTGTACTCATAGATAACAGGTAGTAAGTAGTCAAGCGAATTATTTAAATCTCATGAGCTAAGTACAAGAAGCTTCAGTTTACAAAAAAGGAAAAATGAGCATTCAGGAAGAAACTAATGCTTGATTATTTTTATTAATACTGATTTTTAGTGACTTTTTCAAAATTAAGGCATCTTTTAATGTAATTCATAATATTAATAGTAGATCTAAGGGAAACAAAACGACCCACAGAGGCTAAAAAGGTATTTGATAAACATTGAATAATCATTTCTGATGGGAAAAAAAGACCACTCAAAATAATAGGAATGAATGGATACTTCCTTAAAACAGGGCCAGACTTGGTGGCTCACACCTGTAAGCACTTTTGGAGGCCGAGGCAGGCGGATCACTTGAGGTCAGGAGTTTGAGACCAGCCTGGCCAACATGGCAAAACCCCGTCTCTACTAAAAATACGAAAATTAGTTGGGCATGGTGGCGGGTGCCTGTAATCCCACCTATTCGGGAGGCTGAGGCAGGAGAATTGCTTGAACCTGGGAGGCGGAGGTTACAGTGAGCTGAGATCGCACCACTGCACTCCAACCTGGGCAACAGAGTGAGACTCCATCTCACAAAAATAAATAAATAAATAAATATAAAGTACATATACCTCAGCCACACGTGTAGCATCTTAATAAGGAATTTCTAAACCTATTCCACTAACTTCAGGAACAAGGTAAGGAGATATGCAATCATACTATTATTTAACAGTTTCTGGAGTTATTAATAAATTGGATTATATAGCAATTGATAGCATGGAATTTGAAATAGAAAATATTAAAGTATTTCTATTTACAGATGATATAATAGTGTACCTGCAGAACTGTAGAGAATCAATGGAAAAACTATAAGCAGTAAGATAATTTAATAAGGTACCAAGATACAAGATTAATCTATAAAAATTAAGTCTTCATAAATACAAATAATAAGTTAAAATATATATTTGAAGAGAAAACTCCAATTTATGCAAACAACAAATAAGATAAATTACCTTGGAATAATCTGAACAAGATAAAACTTACATGAAGAAAACTTTAAAACTCTCCTTAAAGACATAAAAACATTTTTGACCAAATGGGAAGGCAATCCATATCAGCGTGCCCAAGAGCCCTTCAAGTTTTGGGACTTGCTAGAAGGACTCACAAGACTCAGTATAGAATCATACTTGTGGCTATGATTTATTGCACAAAAGGATGCCAAGCAAAATCAGCAAAGGGAAAAAGTGCATAGAGCAAATCAAAAACTAGAATAATAGAAGATGTGAATTGAATTACAGAGAAAAAGAACTATAAGTGATTCTTAAACCTCTGAGAAAATGGTCAACTTCACACAAGAAAAATGCAAATCAAAACTACACTGAGATAACATTTCTCACTTTTTAGATTGGCAGAAATTCAAAAGTGTGACAACAGCCCTGTTGACAGTTCTGGAAAGAAACAGGTGGTGCTCTGCGCATTGCTGGTGGGAGCACAAAATGTTACAGCCCGGAGGAGGATAACTTGGCAAAATCTAACAGAATTACAGACTCGTTTATCCTTTGACCCAGAAATCCCGCTTTTAGTGCTCCTGAAGCTAGACGACCAAAGTATAAAATAACATATGTATAAGCTTTTCATACCGGCATTGTTTTTTTATAGAAAGAGCCTGGAAACAACTCATTAAAGACACATTGAATAAAAGATGACAAAAAGCAGCACTAGACCATCCTAATAGAAGAGTGAGAAAGATCTCTATGGACTGATCTAGTTATTTCCAGAATTTATTGTAAAGGAAAAAAACAAATCAGAATTGTATATACCATTTATACCTTTATGAAAAAAGAGGGATGTGTGTATGTGTGTGTACATATATGTATATATGTTTTGTAAGGATATGAATTATATATACATATGCAAATATGTATACAAAAAACACAGAAGATAAACTAAAAACTAGTGAAAATCATTACTTATAGGAAACAAATCAGAACAGCAGAATTTTGAGTTCTCTGAGTATTCTTTTAAATATAATTTTGGCTTTCAAAAAGGAAAATGTCATAAGTATTTTTAAAAACACAATTAAATCAAAATAAAAAAAGCAAAACCTAAAACTGAAAACCAACCAAAACAAGTGAACCTAATTGAATATCAAATTATAATCACATGGAGAAAATAATTATTTCACGTGACTTTAACACACAGTAATTAGACAGTATATGCTAGTATCATGTATTTTAATGGCAAAAAGACTGCTAGGAAATTTTAAACTTCATTCAGTAATTTTCTTCTTAGTAGTTACATGAGTGTTCTCACTTTGAAATGGTTTTTTATATATTACAGAATAAAACAATTAGTAGTTATATGAATGTTATTAGAAATCAAGATTTTAAATGTAAGAGAAAAGAAATACAATAATTAAATCACGGCTGGATGAAGTGCTCACGCCTGAGATCCCAGTACTTTGGGAGGCTGAGGCCAGCAGACTGCTTGAGCCCAGGAGCTTAAGAGCAGCCTAGGAACACAGTGAGACCCCTATCTCTACAAAAAAAAAAAAAAATACAAAAGATTAGCTACGCATGGTGGCACATGCCTGTATCCCAGCTACTTGGGAGGTTGAAGTGGGGAATCACCTGAGCCCAGAAGTCGAGGCTGTAATGAGCAGTGATTGCACCACTGCAATCCAATTTGGGAGAAGGAGTGAGATCCTATCTCCAAAAAAAAAAAAAAAAAAAAAAAAAAAAAGAAAAGAAATCAAATAAAGTAAATTTCTTCTGTAATGTTCCATTTGAGTGAGAAATATATATATAAACTTATATATACCATTTATATAAATCTAAATATATGATATATATAGAAAATGTATATTTTTGTATATTAGAAATATATACAAACTTATTACAAATATATGTGATATACTCAAATATAGGTATAAATATATATACTTCTAATATATGGAAATCTATATCTTCCAATATAATACATTTATTATCTATATATTTATTTGTCTTTATATCTTCCATCTCTGGCCACTGAAATGGCCTAAAAGCAGTGGTACCCTAACAGTAGTGTGCACCCCTTGTCAGCCAGTTTGGGCTCCTAAATTTCTGTGTTCACTGTTGCTTGGAGAAATGGTTAATTCTAGGTCTTGGACAAGAAAAGTACAAGGTGAGCTTGGGACTTCTTAAGTCAGAAAATGAGGAAGCATTCAAAGACTTAGGGAGCTCTGCCTAAATGACAAGGGTGCTAAACTGCATGAGTTCCTGTTGGCCAAATTTGGAGAATTTTGAGCACTGAAAAAATTATTTGTAATAGATTGAGGCACATTGATAATATTGAAACATACATGACCCCAATGATAATTAATAAAAAGAAACAACCACAGCAACATTTGATAATGTTAGTGGTGACTATCATGTCAAGTCCTTATTCTGAAGATTGGTAATTCAAGAGAAAAATTAATCAATTATCAAGTATTTTTATTAGAAACTATGGATCAAGATATTCGAATAGTTCCAGTTGATCAGAGAAATCTCTCTTTTTAAAGAAAAATTCCAACTAATATATGTTGAAAAAAGACACAATTGGAAAAATCACTGTTTTGAAATGCTGAATGAAATAGACAAGGAGCATAAATAAATGCTGAAATCATTGAGTGAAAGGTTGACTAGGACTTGGATGTTTGCTTGATGCCAAAGTATCACCCAACAGATTACTTGCTAATTGCAGAATTGAAAAATGCTTTACACTGGAGAGTTCTGGTTGTCACCACCTAAACCTAGTGATCAAACATAGCATCACTGATAGTGGGGACTTGATGTTTTGTGTCTCCTTTTGTGATATATCACCTAGAAATTATTCCTGCCCAAAATGATGAACCTGAAACTAATCAAGTTCTTATATCCCTTTCTAGATATTCTAAATTTAGCTATTCTCCATGATGTCAATTAACTTATTCTTTCATCCTCTGGATGCTCTGCAAACTGAAAGTGAATATAGGAGTTTAATTGCAATACAAGACCAACCTCTTCAATGTTATAAAATAGAATTAGAATTTCTGCTTGGAAAGATAGGGAATTTGCATTTTTAATAGGCTCACCAGATGATTCTTACACACATTAATGTTGAAGAATTACTATCATTCAATATTCTCGAACAGAGAATATATTTGTGATGAAGAATATTGACCTGTTAATTGGATAAAGAGGAAACAATTGCAATATTTTAGGTAGGAGGAAGGAAGACATGAATTTGGGTGGTGAAAGTAGCCATGGAAACATCATAAATAACCAAGTTGAGTTTAACAAATTTTATCATATTACTTTTATCCTCCTCTTCCTCCCCCTCCTCTTCCTCCTCCTCCCTCTTCTTCAAAACAAAACAAAATGAAACAGGAACAACCAGAATATCAGGTGAATTGACAACACTGGCAGGAAGAATGACTGGGATGCTAGGCAGTGAGTTGGGATTTAGTATCGAGTAAATGGCTAAATAATCACAGAAGCTTATTCACTCAAATCAATTACACTGATCAGAAACAAAGCTATTGAAATACTCAGACAAAAGGATAAATAATGGGGATGTCTAAGAATGTTTAACAGTTGCCTTAATTTCCTAGAAACTTTGGAAATTAATGTAATCCTAGCTGCCTTTGTATGTTGACCAGGTTCAACAGAAGGGTCTGTGGAAGCCACCACCAGCGCAGGCAGTGGAAACACAGCTGGAACATCAGGTACTGGGGACACTGGCCCTGGTAACACAGCAGGTAAGACAAAGCACATCTAGTTGTCAGAGCAATGGTCAAACACAAAGGTCTTATATATAATTAGCATAAGTCCAAGTGAGTTTTAAAAAAAGAAGTTAATTATAAGAGAATGAGGAAAATTCTAGCAGTAATGTTTAATAATGAACTTTTGTCAAAAAGCATTTGCAGCATGGCAACAATCTATAGGCAGAACCTCGTTATTTTTCAAATTGGATACAACTGGAAGATCAGATGCCACAACCACTTTAGCTTCCCGTGAAGTCACATTTGGAATATTATTTATATCTAAAATTATGTTTAATTAGCAGAAGTGTGAGCTCTGATTTCAAAATTTAATTTATCAAAAGAGATTATGAAGAATTCAGTACTTGTAAATAGATAAATGCAAATGTTACCGAAAAGTGTGGGAATCCTCGATTCTTTTCTAACTTGGAAGAAATAATTCAGCCAAGAGATGCATAGCAAGGATTAAGTAGCAGAGTTTATTGAAGGAAGATGAAGCACATTCTTAGAGAGGAGTGGAAAACAGTTCTGAGCTGGTAGGGCTGAAAAAATAGTAGTAGCAGGGTTTATTTAAATATGAAGTACACTCTGAAACACAAGGCAGAGTGGGCTGCTTAAAAGAATGAGCCAGCAGCAGCTAGTGCTGGGGGACTGCTTTTATGAGAATCTTACCTGATTATTCATGAAGGGGCGTGAGGGGTGTATTACTTGCATGCATGTTTCAGGATGTCTCTTTGGGCGCGCATGCTCTGTCGTTGTACATGCTGGTACACACATTGTATGTCTCATTAGCATTTAAAATCTCCACCCAGGGATGTGCTTTTTACTCTTATAATGAGCAAAAGTCTACTCCAGGACAATTTTTTGGAGGAGTGTGCATGCTCCTCAGTGAGGAAAGTCCCTAACCTGATTATCTCCAGCTGGGGCCTGGTAAGTCCCCTTCAAGGCAAGAGGAGCTCAATCACAAGGCCAGAAGTAGCCAGTGTAGCTGTTGTCTTTTTTTGCTGCCTGTCAGAAGGCGGCACTGACTATGAGTTGACAGCGTCTCCAGGACTTCTTTTCCCAGGGGGCTCCCTTGCCTGCTCATTTCTGGCTATCTGCCTACTCTAACACAAACACTTGTATTTTGGTCGGACAGTATTTATTGAGAGCTTAGTAATGTGTTAGGTGCCAGAAGATGCTCTTATATTTACAAAGCTTAGAATTTTTAGAATAAAGTAATATTTAAACACATGAAAAAAGCAAAAAGTTAAGTAATACAGCAAATGGTAAATGCAGTTTGGAGAAGAATTTACTCTGGAATTATAATTTGTAGATAATTCTAGAAAGAGGCACATTCAGTGTTGAAGGCAAATAAGGATTGTGATGGGGTAATAGTGCCTTATCAGATTAACATGTATACTCTTCCTGAGCAAGAAACTATGAGTATAAATATTCTGGAAGAGATTTCCAAGTTGTTTCAGGTCACAGTGATTGAATAAAAGCGAGTTTCTTAAACTGTTTGTTTTCTCTGAAAGTCTCAGGCACACCTGTGGTATCACCTGGAGCAACTCCTGGAGCTCCAGGTAGCAGCACCCCTGGGGAAGCAGACATTGGAAACACCAGTTTTGGAAAATCAGGCAAGTCTGGACATGACTCCTTAACAGTTCTCAACCCTGCCTTCCTCAGAAGTGTGTGATGTGGACTATTGGTCAGGCTATAACTGACATTAAAAGTGTCAGAACAAAGGGAAAGCATAGGGGAGATGCCCTTAATCCACTATACTTTAGAAATCTCAGTTCTGTGCTATCAGCACAGAATAGGGACCAGTACATTTGCAGCAGTGAGCCTGAACCATTGTTGTTGATAACCAGGGACCCCAACAGTATCTGCTGCCTCAACTACCAGTAGCCCTGTGAGTAAACACACCGATGCAGCCTCAGCCACAGCAGTGACAATCTCTGGAAGCAAACCAGGTAGGTAAAATGGGAGACCCTGCACTTGCCAAGGGGCAATATGGGATGTTCGTGTGAATACTGTTCCTCAGAATCAATGTCATGTTGTTAAGCGAGTAAATCACTTAACCTCTGTAACCTCTGTTTTTGTATCTGTAAAATGTGGGTCAAAGTGATCTATTTTGTGAACTTGGGATGAGGAGCCAAGAAAATAGTGAATAGTGTAAGTCAAAGTACATTTTTCAAATGTGGAAAGGATCATTATTGTTATCGATACAGAAAAATGAAGATTTCTGTAATTTTTAGGTGGAAGTTAATTTAAGTGAGAATTGGTTATATCATAGCTTAAGAAATTCTGTGAATGCGTCCTTTCCATTTTTGCCTTTGCCACAGGTACACCTGGAACACCAGGTGGTGCAACTAGTGGAGGCAAAATTACATCTGGATGGTCCAGCAGTGGCACCAGCACGGGCGCTTCAAATACACCAGGTGAGATTAGCAAAGCACTAAAAGGTCACAAAAATGGGAGTCAGTGTAGAAATTTGTTTATAAAAGCTTATTCAGTAGGGTATTAATTCAGTTGAAAATCTTTCCTGCTTGAAACTTAGAGCACTGTTATTTAAATATTCTGTGAATCCTTTAAAGAGGTTGCCATTGTATGCTTTGTTATTCAGTATTTATGCACTATTGGGATATCAATTAGTGCAATACCTGAAATCACATATAATAAAAATGATCTGATAATTTAGATATTTTCCATTATTAAACTAGACTAGTGCAGCATTTTAAATCTGATATTGTCACATGGCCAATTTAGAAATCACTGGAATGTTACTTGATACAACCATAATGGAGTTAAGTTTTAAAAAAAAAAAGCAATAGTGACCCTCTAACACTTTATCTCATGGTTGGTCCATAATTATTGTTTTGGAGTTAAGGGCTTCTTAGGATGTATTTGCTCATTTAGTTACAATTTCATTGTCTAAGTTCTGCATTTTTCCACACAAAATCATTTAGACAACAAGCTAACATAATTCAATATAGGCTAAAATACTAAATAATTACAAAATAATATGTTAGTTATTTTTGCAGATCATTAATTAATTATATGATTTTCCCATAGTACAAACATTTGAGAATTCAATAAATTCTTCTCTGCCACGAATAATATAATATGCTGTTGGGCATTATAAGGTTACCTTACATCAGCAAGAATATTCAAATTTCAAACTAGAATTCTTTTTTTGCAATCTTTTGCAAAACACCACTGTCTTTAGTATTTGAAATTGTTGTGGTTTAAAGTATTAGCCTATTTTCCCATATGCTCTTTATTGAACAGAGACCTAGAACCTTGATGAACAGCTTTCCCCATTTCTAAGAACAATTTAATAAGCAACACTGTCTTCTGAATTGTTGAAACATTCAGAAATCAGTTTTCTTCCTAAAACCTCTACACATGGGTTTTTAAAAAGTCTTCTTTTCTAGAATTTGCAAGTAGGGTTTGTCTATAACTCATTTGCTCAAAGCTGACCTGTTGAGGAAATATGTAAACTATGCAATGGGTGTTGCAGATCCCTTGCTAAACAATGTTTGTGTCTTGTAAGACTTAACTTGCTTCAAATGACCAAAGAGATAGATTACGAATCAATTTATTTATTAATATTTGAATACTTCTCAGAAAATAAGCCAAAAAAGTGCCTGAAAAATATAATTAGTAGGATAAAAATTAGTAGATAAAACCATTCTTATATCTTAGTTTCTACTGGATATATTTAATACAATATTATTTATAATATAAACATATGAAGCAGTCATTAACCATTATATAATATCATGTATAAGTTATCTTAATCTGTTTTAACAAAAGTAAAAATGATCATCAGAAAACAACTATACAAAGTATAAAATGGACAAATGTTTTCACATATATTAACTTACTTGAATCTTACAGACACCCTATGCAGTCAATAATATATTAGTAATTATTCACATTTTATCTATGAAAAAATCCATGTGTTTACCCCAAAATCACAGGATAAGTATGTTGTTAGGCCAGGTCAGGGCCTGGATTGTTGATTCTTCATCCAGTCATTATCTTTTACTAGACAGACCACCAACATGGTGGATTTCTGTTAAAACTAGAGAAAGATCTTGTCACGTTGCCTATTTTTGTTTACAGTTGTGTTCCTAGTGCATAGCTCAGTTCCTGGTTTGGGTACTTGATAAATATCTGGTGGATATCTGGTAAATAATTCAATAAGTGAATAGTAATTCCCAGTCTGGTAAAGGATGAAGTGGTTTTATTCTTATCAGTGAGGTAAAATAACAGGTCACATGGAAGGGAAACTTCTGGAAGGATTGGAGCTGTCAGGGGGTAGTGAACTCTTTTCTGCTCTACCCAAGTAGTGGAGTTTCACTCGAAACATGTACCCATACACACATAGACACACCACTGTGCAGATCCATGTCTCTACAGATCCAAGGTTTCCATCTTCATCTGGTTCCTTAGTGGTATTCTTGATATATTAGGATCTTCAGAACCAGAGCCTTCTGGGTGATACTGGATTTCCCTTTATGCTCACATCTGTTCTCTGAGTCTTCCCCATATTAGAAAATGTTACCATCACTGACTCAATTCACTCAGGTAAAAATATTGTAGTTATCCTTGATGGCTCTCTTTTTTTTTGTACCTCTCATATCTAAACAAGGCCTGTTACTGCTACTTCCAACACATATCTTGACCCTATCCACTATTCTCAGTCTCCTTTATCACAGTTTCAGCACAAGCCACTCATAAATTGTCAGAACTTCTGAAATCACCTCATAATTGTTCTTCCTAATTCTATGATGCACCCCCTGCCATATATTTTCTACAGAGTGTAAAGAGGGATTTTAAATGTATATCAATTCTATGCTATTTCTCCCCTCTTTAAAATTATAGCCCCTTGCATTTAGAAAAACCTTCAGTCTTCCTCCCCTGATTCATAACATTTCGCTTGCTCCTACATATCTGACCTTACCTTATAATATTCCCCGCCTCAGCTCCCATTATCCAGATATACTCAACTTCTAGCTCTGCTTTTCTAGCAAGCATAGCTCCATCAGACTTACGACCTTTGTACTGGCTGTTACCTCTGCCTGGAATGCCATTCTCCTAGAGCTTCACTAGCAGGTTGCTTCTTGTTATCAGACTTCAGAATAAAGACCATCTTCTCACAGAAGCCTTTGCTAACCAGACAGTCTAAAATAGAACATCCCATTTTGTAGTATCAATTCACTTTATATTAATGCTCTGAAGCTTTTCTTGTTTGTGAATTTGGTTATTGGTTGGCTAGTTATTTTATTTATGTCTACCTCTCTCTTCCCACTAGAATGCCCCACGGAGCAGAGAACTGTTTATCTGCATCCCCTTTGAACAGCTACTTAATCTCGCTTTAGTTTCTATTTTATAAAAGAGAAAAGAAATATTATATATCTCATAGTATTAATCTAATGGTAAAATGAAGTGATACCTGTAAGTTGCTGACAACTTCTTTGACACACAATAGACATTAGATAAATGATTTTTATGAAAATAAACAAACAGAAAGAAGTTACGCTAGAGCTGGCACAGTGAAGATCACTGTGGTCCCAGGTACTCAGGAAGATTACTTGAACCCAGGAGTTTGTGATCAGCCTGGGCAACAAAGTGAGACTCTTTTTTTAAAAAGAAGTTACAATGTAGCAAAAAGACAAGTATGAAATAATATGGTGGTTATGGAGATGAAGAGGTATAAAAGCTGTACTAGAGAAATAAAGCCTCATGAGTCTTAAAGGTTAACCAAGGACCAAAACAGCTATTAATATCATTCTGCTTTTACTATGTGTTTGTGACAGGGGCAACAGGATCATCGACCGGACAGACAGACACAAGTGGACCATCAGCTAAAGTAACAGGGAATTATGGACAATCATCTGAAATACCAGGGACAATTAAATCATCATCTGATGTTTCAGGGACAATGGGGCAATCAGATACAACATCTGGACCATCAGTTGCAGTGACAAGGACTTCTGAACAATCGTCAGGAGTCACGGTGGCATCTGAACCATCAGTTGGAGTATCAGGGACAACTGGACCATTAGCTGAAATATCAGGGACAACCAGACCATTAGTTTCAGGGTTAAGGACAACTGGATCATCAGCTGAAGGATCAGGGACAACTGGACCTTCATCAAGAGAATCAGTGACAACTAGACCATTAGCTGAAGGTTCAGGGACAAGTGGACAATCGGTTACAGGATCAAGAGCAACTGGATTATCAGCTACAGAATTAGGGACAACTGTGTCTTTTACTGGAGGATTAGGTACAAGTAGATCATCTGCTAGAGAAACAAGGACAACTGGACCATCAGCTGACGGGTCAGGAACAACTGGACCATCTGTTGTGAGATCAGGGACAACTAGATTATCAGTTGGAGTGACAAGAGCAACTGAATCATCACCTGGAGTGACAGGAACAACTACACCATCAGCTGAAGAATCCAGGACAACAGGACCATCTGTTCTAGTGACAGGAACAACTGGACAATCAGGCCAAGGATCAGGGACAACTGGAAAATCTTTTATAGAATCAGGACCATCTGTTGTAGGATCAGGGACAACTGGACCAACATCTGCAGGATTAGGAACAACTGCACCATCAACCAGAAGATCAAGCACAACAAAACCATCAGTTGGAAGAACTGGGACAACTGGACAATCAGGTGCAGAATCAGGAACAACTGAACCATCAGCTAGAGTGGCAGGTGTAACTGGAACATCAGCTGAAGTATCAGGAAGAATTGAACCATCAGCTACAGAATCAAGTACAAGTAGACCACTAGGTGAAACAACAGGGACAACTATACCATCAATGGAAGGATCAGAGGCAACTGGACCATCTGTCATTGGATCAGAAACAACTAGACTATCAGTTATAGGATCAGGGACAACTGGAACTTCATCTGGAGGTTCAGGTGCAACAAGATCATCAGGTGGAGGAATGGGGACAACTGGACAATCAACTGCAAGATCAGAAACAACTGGACCACTTTTTGGATTGACAGGAACATTTGGGCAATCTGCTACAGTGACTGGGACATCTTCAAATTCAGCTGGAGTGACAACACCTGAAAAATCACCTGGAGTGGCAATGACAACAGGACTGTTGGTTGAAGGATCAGCTACAACTCAACCACGTATTTTAGAATCAGAAACAACTGAATCATCAGCTGGAGTGATAGTGACATCTGGACAATCAGCCAGAGTGACTGGGGCAACTGGACCATCAGCTGGAGAGACAGGAACAACTGAACCATCAACTGAAGGATCAGTTGCAGCTGTATTATTTGTTATTGGATCAGAAACAACTAGACCATTAGATATAGGATCAGGGACAACTGGAACTTTATCTGGAGGTTCAAGTACAACAAGATCATCAGATGGAACAACAGGGACAACCAGAAAATCAACTGCAAGATCAGAAACAACTGGACTTTCTGGATTGACAGGAACATCTGGGCAATTGGCTGGAGTGACTGGGACATCTTCAAAATCAGCTGGAGTAACAGTGACATCTGAAAAATCAGCTGGAGTTGCAGTGATAACAGGATCATTTGTTGAAAGACCAGTCACAACTGGACCACCTCTTTTAGAATCAGAGACAACTAGACCATCAGGTGGAGTAACAGTGACATCTGGACAATCAGCCAGAGTGACTGAAACAGTTGGAGCATCAGCTGGAGTGACAGGAACAACTGGACCATCAACTGAAGGATCAGGGGCAACTGGACCATCTGTTGTGGGATCAGGAACAACTAGACCATTAGCTGGTGAATCAGGTACAACTGAGTCATCAGCTGGAGTGACAGGGACAAGGCCATCATCATCAAGAGAATCAGCAACAACTGGACCATCAGATGAAGGATCAGGAACAACTGGACTATCAGCTGGAGTGACAGTGACATCTGGACAATCAGTTAGAAAGACTGGGACAACTGGAGCACCAGCTGGAGTTACAGAAACAACAAGACCATCTGTTGTCAAATCAGGGACAACTGGACCATCTGTTATAGGAACGAGGACAACTGGAACTTCATCAGGAGGATCAGGTGCAACAAGATCATCAGGTGGAGAAACAGAGACAACTGGCCAATCAGCTGTAAAATCAGGGACAACAGAATCATTTACTAGGTTGACAAGAACATCTGGGCAATCAGCTGGAATGACTGGGACATCTGCACAATCAGCTGGAGTGGCACTAACAAGTCCTTTTGTTGAAGGATTAGTGACAACTGGATCATCTACTGTAGGATTAGAGACAACTAGACCTTCAGCTGTAGGATCAGGAAAAACTGGACCTCCTGTTGTAAAAGCACAGACAACTGGACCATCAGCTGGAGTGACAGTGACATCCGGACAATCAGCTAGAATGACTGGGGCAAGTGGACCATCAGTAGGAGTGACAGGAACAACTGGACCAGCAAGTAAAGGATTAGGGACAATTAGACCATCTGTTGTAGGATTAGAGACTACTGAACTATCAGCTGAAGGATCAGGGACAACTGGACCACCTATTGTAGGAGAGACAACTGTACCATCAGCTGGAGTGACAGTTACATCTGGATACTCAGATAGAGTGACTGGGGCAACTGAACCATTGGCTGGAGTAACAGGAACCATTAAACCATCTGTTGCAGGATCAGTGACAACTGGACCATCTGTTACAGGAGTAGAGACAACTGCAAAAACTACATCTGGAGGATTAAGTACAACTATATCGTCAGTTGGAGGAACAGGGACCACTGGACAATCACCTGAAAGATCAGGGACAACAGGACCATTTACTGGATTGACAGGGACATCTGCACAATCAGCTGGAGTCACAATGACATCTATCCAATCAGCTGGAGTGCTAGTAACAACAGGACTAAATGTTGATGGCTTAGGGACAACTGGAAAAGCTCTTATAGGATCAGGAACAACTGGATTATCAGCTGAAGCTACAGGGACAATTGGACCATCAACTGAAGGATTAGAGAAAACTGGACCATCTATTACTGGATCAGGAACAACCAGACCATTAGTTACAGAATCATGGACAGCTGGAACTTCATCTGGAGGACATAGTACAACAAGTCCATCAGTTAGAGGAACAGAGACAACTGGACAATCAGCTGCAGAATCAGTGACAACAGGGCCAGTTACAGGATACACAGAAACCTCTGGTCCATCAGCTGGAGTGACAGTGACACCTCGGCAATCACCTACAGTGACTCAGACAACTGGATCATCAGCTGCAGTATCAGGGACAACTGTACAATCTCTTACAGTATCAGGGACCACTAGACCATCATCTGGACAAACAGAAATAACTGGATCGTCAGTTAAAGAATCAGGGACAACTGAATCATCAGCTGTAAGGTCAGGGACTACTGGACCAACAGCTGGAGTGACAGGTACAAATGGACCATCATCAGCTGGAGTGACAGGGATAACTGGATCATCACCTGGAGTGACAGGGACAACTGGATCATCACCTGGAGTGACAGGGACAACTGGATCATCTGCAAGATCAGGGACAAGTATACCATCAGTTGGAAAAACAGGAACGACTAGAACATCAGTTGAAGAATCAAGGACAACTAGACCATCAGCTGGAATAACAGGTACAAATGGACTATCAGCTGAAGTGACAGGGACAACTGGACCATTAGCTGGAGTGACAGGGACAACTGGACCATCAGCTGGAGTGACAAGGACAACTGGACTGTCAGCTGGAGAGACAGGGACAACTGGACTATCACCTGGAGTGACAAGGACAACAAGATCATCAGCTGGGCTAACAGGGAAAACAGGACTATCAGCTGGGGTGACAGGGAAAACTGGACTGTCAGCTGAAGTGACAGGGACAACTAGACTATCAGCTGGAGTGACAGGGACAACTGGACCATCACCTGGAGTAACAGGTACAACTGGAACACCAGCTGGGGTTACAGGGACAACTGAACTATCAGCTGGAGTGACAGGGAAAACTGGACTATCATCTGAAGTGACAGAAACAACTGGATTATCATATGGGGTGAAAAGGACAATTGGACTATCAGCTGGGTCGACAGGGACAAGTGGACAATCAGCTGGAGTGGCAGGGACAACTACACTATCAGCTGAAGTGACAGGGACAACTAGACCATCAGCTGGGGTAACAGGGACAACAGGACTATCAGCTGAAGTGACAGAGATAACTGGAATATCAGCTGTGGTGACAGGGACAACTGGACCATCAGCTGGGGTGACAGAGACAACTGGATCATCAGCTGGAGTGGCAGGGACAACAAGACTATCAGCTGGAGTGACAGGGATAACTGGACTATCAGCTGGAGTGACAGGGACAACTGGACTGTCAACTGAAGTGACAGGGACAACTGGACCATCAGCTGGGGCGACAGGGACAACTGGACTATCAGTTGGAGTGACTGGGATAACTGGGCTATCAGATGTAGTGACAGAGACAACTGGATCATCTGCAAGATCAGGGACAGGTATACCATCAGTTGGAGAAACAAGAACAACTAGCACATCAGTTGAAGAATCAAGGACAACTAGACCATCAGCTGGAATAATGGGTACAAATGGACTACCAGCTGAAGTGACAGGGACAACTGAACCATTAGCTGGAGGGACAGGGACAACTGGAATATTAGCCGGGGTGACAGGGACAACTGGACTATCAGCTGGGGAGACAGGGAAAATTGGATCATCAGCTGGGGTGACAGGGAAAACTGGATCATCAGCAAGAGTGACAGGAAAAACTGGACCATCAGCAGAAGTAACAGGGAAAACTGGACTATCAGCTGGAGTGACGGGGACAACTGGACTATCACCTGGAGTGACAGGGACAAGTGGACTATCAGCTGAAGTGACAGGGACAACTGGCCCATCAGCTGAAGCTACAGGGCTACCTGGAGTATCAGCTGGGGTGACAGGGACAACTGGATCACTAGCTGGAGGGACAGGGACAATTGGACTATCAGCTGGGGTGACAGGGACAACTGGATCATCAGCTGGGGTGACAGGGACAACTGGACTATCAGCTGGGGTGACAGGGATAGCTGGACTCTCAGCTGGGGTGACAGGGATAACTGGACCATCAGCTGGAGTGACAGGGACAACTACAGTATCAGCTGGAGTAACAGGGACAACTGGACTATCAGCTGAAGCAACAGAGATAACTGGACTATCAGCTGGGGTGACAGGGACAACTGGACTATCTGCTGGGGTGACAGAGACAATTAGACTATCAGCTGGGGTGACAGGGACAATTAGATCATCAGCTGGGGTAACAGGGATAACTGGACTATCAGCTGGAGTGACAGGGACAACTGGACCATCAGCTGGTGTGACAGGGTCAACTGGACTATTAGCTGGGGTGACAGAGACAACTGGACAGTCAGCTAAAGTGACAGGGACAACTGGACAATCTGTCGGAGTGACAGGGACAACTAGATCATCAGGTGGAGTGACAGGGATAACTGGACTATCAGCTGGAGTGACAGGGACAAATGGACTATCAGCTGTGACAGGAATGACTGGACTATCAGCTGAGGTGACAGGGACAACTGGACTATCAGTTGGGGTGACAGGGATAGCTGGACTCTCAGCTGGCGTGACAGGGATAACTGGACCATCAGCTGGAATAACAGGGACAACTACCATATCAGCTGGAGTAACAGGGACAAGTGGACTATCAGCTGAAGCAACAGGGATAACTGGACTATCGGCTGGGGTGACAGGGAAAACTGGACTATCTGCTGGAGTGACAGAGACAATTGGACTATCAGCTGAAGCGACAGGGACAATTGGATCATCACCTGGGGTGACAGGGACAACTGGATCATCAACTGGGGTGACAGGGATAACTGGATTATCAGCTGGAGTGACAGGGACAACTGGATTGTCAACTGAAGTGACAGGAACAACTGGACCATCAGCTGGGGTGACAAGGACTACTGGACTATCAGCTGGAGTGACTGGGATAACTGGGCTATCAGCTATAGTGACAGAGACAACTGGATCATCCGCAAGATCAGGGACAAGTATCCCATCAGTTGGAGAAACAGGAACAACTAGAACATCAGTTGAAGAATCAAGGACAACTAGACCATCAGCTGGAATAACGGGTACAAATGGACTATCAGCTGAAGTGACGGACAATTGGACCATTAGCTGGAGGGACAGGGACAACTGGACTATCAGCTGGGGTGACAGGAACAGTTGGATCATCAGCTGTGGTAACAGGGACAACTGGACTATCAGCTGGAGTCACAGGGACAACTGGACCATCAGCTGAAGAGACAGGGGCAACTGGACCATCAGCCGAAGTGACAGAGACAACTGGACCATCAGCTGGGGTGACAGGGACAGGTAGACTATCAGCTGAAGTGACAGGGACAACTGGCCCATCAGCTGAAGTAACAGGGCTACCTGGAGAATCAGCTGAGGTGACAGGGACAATTGGATCACCAGCTGGAGTGACAGGGACAACTCAGCTATCAGCTGTGGTGACAGGGATAACTGGACTATCAGCTGAGGTGACAGGGACAACTGGACTATCAGCTGGGGTGACAGGGATAACTGGACTATCAGCTGAGGTGACAAGGACAACTGGACTATCAGCTGGGGTGACAGGGACAATTGGACTATCAGCTGGGGTGACAGGGACAACCAGACCATCAGCTGGAGTGACAGGGACAACTGGACAATCAGCTGAAGTGACAGGGACAACTGAACCATCAGCTGGGTTGACAGAGACAACTGGATCATCAACTGGGGTGACAGGGGCAACTGGACCATTAGCTGGAGTGACAGGGACAACTGGAATATCAACTGAAGTGACAGGGACAACTGGACCATCAGCTAGGGTGACAGGGACAACTGTACTATCAGCTGGAGTGACTGGGATAACTGGGCTATCAGCTATAGTGACAGAGACAACTGGATCATCTGCAAGATCAGGGACAAGTACACCATCAGTTGGAGAAACAGGAACAACTAGAACATCGGTTGAAGAATCAAGGGCAACCAGACCATCAGCAGGAATAACAGGTACAAATGGACAATCAGCTGAAGTGACATGGATAACTGGACCATTAGCTGGAGTGACAGGGACAACTGGAATATCAGCTGGGGTGACAGGGACAACTGGACTGTCAGCTGGGGTGACAGGGACTATTGGATCATCAGCTGTGGTGACAGGTATAAATGGACTATCAGCAGGAGTGACAGGGACAACTGGACCATCAGCTGAAGAGACAGGGGCAACTGGACCATCAGCTGAAGTCACAGGGACAACTGGACCATCAGCTGAAGAGACAGGGGCAACTGGACCATCAGCTGAAGTCACAGGGACAACTGGACCATCAGGTGGAGTGACAGGGACAAATGGACTATCAGCTGAAGTGACAGGAACAACTGGCCCATCAGCTGAAGTGACAGGGCTACCTGGAGTATCAGCTGGGGTGACAGGGACAATTGGATCACCAGCTGCAGTGACAGGGACAATTCGGCCATCAGCTGTGGTGACAGGGATAACTGGCCTATCAGCTGAGGTGACAGGGACAACTGGACTATCAGCTTGGGTGACAGGGATAGCTGGACTCTCAGCTGGGGTGACAGAGACAATTGGATCATCAGCTGGGGTGACAGGTACAAATGGACTATCAGCTGAAGCAACAGGGACAACTGGACCATCAGCTGGAGTGACAGGGACAACTGGACTATCAGCTGGGGTGACAGGGACAGCTGGACTATCAGCTAGGGTGACAGAGAGTACAGGACTATCAGCTGGGGTGACAGGGACAACTGGACTATCAGCAGGAGTGACAGGGACAACTGGACCATCAGCTGGAATAACAGGTACAAATGGACTATCAGCTGAAGTGACAGGGACAACTGGACCATTAGCTGGAGTGACAGGGACAATTGGACTATCAGCTGGGGTGACAGGGATAGCTGGACTCTCAGCTGGGGTAACAGAGAGTACTGGACTATCAGCTGGGGTGACAGGGACAATTAGATCATCAGCTGTGGTGACAGGTATAAATGGACTATCAGCAGGAGTGACAGGGACCACTGGACCATCAGCTGAAGAGACAGGGGCAACTGGACCATCAGCTGAAGTCACAGGGACAACTGGACCATCAGGTGGAGTGACAGGGACAAGTGGAATATCAGCTGAAGTGACAGGAACAACTGGCCCATCAGCTGAAGTGACAGGGCTACCTGGAGTATCAGCTGGGGTGACAGGGACAATTGGATCACCAGCTGCAGTGACAGGGACAACTCGGCCATCAGCTGTGGTGACAGGGATAAGTGGACTATCAGCTGAGGTGACAGGGACAACTGGACTATCAGCTGGGGTGACAGAGACAATTGGATCATCAGCTGGGGTGACAGGTACAAATGGACTATCAGCTGAAGCAACAGAGACAACCGGACCATCAGCTGGAGTTACAGGGACAACAGGACTATCAGCTGGGGTGACAGGGACAACTGGACCATCAGCTGGAATAGCAGGTACAAATGGACTATCAGCTGGGGTGACAGGGACAACTGGACTATCAGCTAGGGTGACAGAGAGTACTGGACTATCAGCTGGGGTGACAGGGACAATTGGATCATCAGCTGTGGTGACAGAGACAACTAGACTTTCATCTGGAGTCACAGGGACAATTGGACCATCAGCTGAAGAGACAGGGGCAACTGGACTATCAGCAGAAGTGACAGGGACAACTGGATCATTAGCTGAAGTGACAGGGACAACTGGGCTATCAGCTGGGGTGACAGGGACAATTGGATCATCAGCTGTGGTGACAGGGACAACTGGACTATCAGCTGGAATAACAGGTACAAATGGACTATCAGCTGAAGTGACAGGGACAGCTGGACCATTAGCTGGAGTGACAGGGACAACTGGACTATCAGCTGGGGTGACAGGGACAACTGGACTATCAGCTGGGGTGACAGAGACAACTGGACAATCAGCTGGGGTGACAGAGAGTACTGGACTATCACCTGGGGTGACAGGGACAATTGGATCATCGGCTGTGGTGACAGGGATAAAGGGACTATCAGCAGGAGTGACAGGGACCACTGGACCATCAGCTGAAGAGACAGGGGCAACTGGACCATCAGCTGAAGTCACAGGGACAACTGGACCATCGGGTGGAGTGACAGGGACAAGTGTACTATCAGTTGAAGTGACAGGAACAACTGGCCCATCAGCTGAAGTGACAGGGCTACCTGGAGTATCAGCTGGGTTGACAGGGACAATTGGATCACCAGCTGCAGTGAGAGGGACAACTTGGCCATCAGCTGTGGTGACAGGGATAAGTGGACTATCAGGTGAGGTGACAGGGACAACTGGACTATCAGCTGGGGTGACAGGGATAGGTGGACTCTCAGCTGGGGTGACAGGGACAATTGGATCATCAGCTGGGGTGACAGGTACAAATGCACTATCAGCTGAAGCAACAGGGACAACTGGACCATCAGCTGGAGTGACAGGGACAACTGGACTATCAGCTGGGGTGACAGGGACAACTGGACTATCAGCTGGGGTGACAGGGACAATTAGATCATCAGCTGTGGTGACAGAGACAACTGGACTATCAGCAGGAGTGACAGGGACAACTGGACCATCAGCTGGAATAGCAGGTACAAATGGACTATCAGCTGAAGTGACAGGGACAACTGGACTATCAGCTGGGATGACAGGGACAACTGGACTATCAGCTAGGGTGACAGAGAGTACTGGACTATCAGCTGGGGTGACAGGGACAATTGGATCATCAGCTGTGGTGACAGAGACAACTAGACTATCAGCTGGAGTCACAGGGACAATTGGACCATCAGCTGAAGAGACAGGGGCAACTGGACTATCAGCAGAAGTGACAAGGACAACTGGATCATTAGCTGGAGTGACAGGGACAACTGGACCATCAGCTGTAGTGACAGGGAAAACTGAACTATCAGCAGAAGTGACAGGGACAACTGAACTATCAGCTGAGGTGACAGAGAAAACTGGACCATCAGCAGAAGTGACAGGGAAAACTGGGCTATCAGCTGGAGTGATGGAGACAACTGGACCATCAGCTGAAGTGACAGGGACAACTGGATCATCAGCTGGGGTGACAGGCACAACTGGACCATCAGCTGGAGTGACAGGGACAACTGGCCCATCAGCTGAAGCGACAGGGCTACCTGGAGTATCAGCTGGGGTGACAGGGACAATTGGATCACCAGCTGGAGTGACAGGGACAGCTCGGCTATCAGCTGTGGTGACAGGGATAAGTGGACTATCAGCTGAGGTGACAGGGACAACTGGACTATCAACTGGGGTGACAGGGATAGCTGGACACTCAGCTGCGGTGACAGGGATAACTAGACCATCAGCTGGAGTGACAGGGACAACCACAGTATCAGCTGGAGTAACAGGGACAATTGGACTATCAGCTGAAGCAACAGGGATAACTCTACCATCAGCTGGGGTGACAGAGACAACTGGACTATCTGCTGGAGTGACAGAAACAATTGGACTATCAGCTGGGGTGACAGGGACAATTGGATCATCAGCTGGGGTGACAGAGATAACTGGACTATCAGCTGGAGTGACAGGGACAACTGGACCATCAGCTGGTGTGACAGGGTCAACTGTACTATCAGCTGGGGTGACAGCGACAACTGGACAATCTGTTGGAGTAACAGGGACAACTGGACCATCAGCTGGTGTGACAGGGACAACTGGACTATCAGCTGGGGTGACAGGGATAGCTGGACTCTCAGCTGGGGTGACAGGGATAACTGGACCATCAGCTGGAGTGACAGGGACAACTACAGTATCAGCCGGAGTAACAGGGACAACTGGACTATCAGCTGAAGCAACAGAGATAACTGGACTATCAGCTGGGGTGACAGGGACAACTGGACTATCAGCTGGGGTGACAGGGATAGCTGGACTCTCAGCTGGGGTGACAGAGACAATTGGATCATCAGCTGGGGTGACAGGTACAAATGGACTATCAGCTGAAGCAACAGGGAAAACTGGACCATCAGCTGGAGTGACAGGGACAACTGGACTATCAGCTGGAGTGACAGGGACAACTGGACTATCTGCTGGGGTGACAGAGACAATTGGACTATCAGCTGGTGTGACAGGGACTATTGGATCATCAGCT